>NT_167244.2:2908515-2944741 GCF_000001405.40 Homo sapiens | reverse complement strand
GGCTGGTCTTGAACTCCTGATCTCATGATTCGCCCACCTCGCCCTCCCAAAGTGCTGGGATTACAGGTGTGAGCCACCACGCCTGGCCGTTTGATCAAAGATTTTAAGCAAGCAAAGGAACAAGCCTCTGTCTTCCTAGGCCTGCACACTTCCCCAAATCACCTTTTTTCACTGATATCTCTGTTTCCATTCTGGTCAAACTTTATGTATTTCTTTGGGTAAAGAGAGAGAACAGACAGGGTAAGCACTGGCTAGAGGGTCTTTGGCAGAGGATCGAGGAAGGCATTGCCAACCAAGTGCTAGGTTGAGGAGAGGATGTGGAAGGAGGAGATGGGGCAGGCAGAGTGGGCTTGGGGAGTTGAGGGACCATGTAAGGTGGATATACGGCTAGAAAGAAAAATACTTATTTTTTTTTTTTTGAGACAGAGTCTCCATCTGTCGCTAGACTGGAGTGCAGTGGCGCGATCTTGGCTCACTTCAACCTCCACATCCTGGGTTCAAGCGACTCTCCTGCCTCAGCCTCCCAAGTAGCTGGGACTACAGGTGCGCACCACCATGTTCAACTAATTTTTGTAATTTTAGTGGAGACGAGGTTTCACCATGTTGGCCAAGATGGTCTCGATCTCTTGACCTTGTGATCCACCCACCTTGGCCTCCCAAAGTACTGAGATTATAGATGTGAGCCACTGCGCCTAGCCAGAAAAATATTTATTGATCCTAAAGTGGAGTCAGCGCCACTGTTGCTGCTAGTGTTGAATCCAGAACCATAGCTGGACATGGGATCAGAGGATGAACAAGAGATGCTGACTGGGCCTAGAGATGGCAAGGAGGAGGAGGAAGAGGAAGAGGAGGAATTAGTCAATTCCTAACAAAAGCGAGAGAGCAGTGCGTGCAGCTGAAGAAAGGAGTAAAGTCTCGGAGCAGCTGGAGCTCTGTGATGAGCACGTGTCTTCCAGATCACAGACAGGAGAGGATTGCACAAAGCTCTTTGACTTCTCTAATGCAAGGGACCATTGCATGGCCCACAAATCCTTTAACAGTTTGAAATGAATGTGCAGACTCCTTCACCCCAGCTTTCATCACCTGGGCATTTCTCTATGGTTTTAAATATAACATTTGTTTCTAATTTGTGTAACTGTAAGTCCATGTGAACCTCATGGATTTTTGGCTTAGGCAAATAGCTTCTCTGTAATTGGCAGCAATTCCATCTTAATAAGGGAACTGTGATTTGCAAAACGAAAAAATATACTGTTTTTTTCTTTTTCCTTTTTTTTATTCAAGGGCTAGTGAATCTTGGGATCTCAGGGTTACATCGAGGTATATTTATCATCATCATTATAGTCCAGGACTAAAAGGAAGTTATTCCAGGCTCTTTGCAAAGAATCTCAGTTTTTTTTGTTTGTTTGTTTTATTTTGTTTTGAGATGGAGTCTTGCTCTGTTGGCCAGGCTGGAGTGCAGTGGTGCAGTCTCTGCTCACTGCAACCTCCACCTCCCAGGTTCAAGTGATTCTCCTGCCTCAGCCTCCCGAGTAGCTGGGACTACAGGCACCCGCCACCATGCCTGGCTAATTTTTTGTATTTTTAGTAGAGACAGGGTTTCACCATGTTAGCCAGGATGGTCTCAATCTCCTGACCTCATGATCGGCCCGCCTCGGCCTCCCAAAGTGCTGGGATTACAGGCGTGAGCCACTGCGCCTGGCCAAGAACACCACTTCTTACACCAATCATGTGGAGACTTCTCCCACACCAATCAATTCTTCAGTTCTTGGTAGATATTAACTGGGAGTCCTGCAGTTTAATTCAGTTCTGACACTCTACCCATAATTACCAGTTATCTAATCCCCAAGTTGAAGGGCTCAGTTCTACAAGGCTGCCCCCACTCCAGATACCAATCACAAACAAGTCCAGGCCTCCTAACTGTTTTTATGACTCCCTCTTCTGGCTCAGTAATTCGCTGGAATAGCACGCAGAACTCAGGTAAACACTTTACTTATGTTAGCTAGTTTATTATGAAGGATAAAACTTAGGAACAGTCAGATGGAAGAGTTGCTCCGGACAAAGTATCGGGGAAGGGGGATTTGGAGCTTTCTTGTCCTCTCTGGGCACCTCCCTGCACCTCCATGTGTTCATCAACCTGGCAGCTCTCCAACCCTCATCTTTTTTGTTTTTTTTTATGGAGGCTTCATTATGCAGGCATACTTGATTCAATAGCCATTAGTTGGAGGTCAGAGGGTTGGAGCTAAAAGTTCTAACTCTCTAATCACACAGTTGCCTACCTTGGCAACAAACCCCAACCTTAGGGGCTTTCTAAAAGTCAACTTACTAACATAAACTCAGTTGTGGTTGAAAAGAGCTTGTTATGAATAACAAAAGCTCCCTTCACTTTATCATTTAGGAAATTACAAGGGCTTTAGGAGGTCTGGCCAGGAGCCAGGATGGAGACCAAAACACACACACACACACACACACACACACACACACACACGCACGCACACACACATTAATATTTTGAGACAGGGAGACAGGGTCTCGTTCTGTTATCCAGGCTGGAGTGCAGTGGCACAAACATGGCTACTGCAGCTTTGACCTCCCAGGCTCAAGCGATCCTCCCTTGTCAGCCTCCTGAGTAACTGGGAGTACAGGCATGTGCCACCACACCTGGCTAATTTTTAAAATTTTTTTTAGAGACAGGGTCTCCTTGTGTTGCCCAGGCTGGTCTTGACTGCCTGGGCTCAAGTAATCCTCCCACCTTGGCCTCCCAAAGTGCTGGGATTACAGGCCTGAGCCACCGTGCCTGACCTTTTTTTTTTTTTTTTTTTTTTTTTTGAGACAGTTTCTTGTTCTGTCATCCAGGTTGGAGTGCAGTGGCACCATCATAGCTCACTGCAGCCTCAACTTCTTGGGCTCAAGCAATCCTTCCATCTCAGCCTCCCAAGCAGCTGGGACCCGCACCACCATGCCTGGCTCATTTTAAAATTTTTTGTAGAGATGAAGTCTCGCCAGGTTGCCCAGGCTGGTCTTGAACTCCTGGGCTCAAGTGATCCTCTGGTCTCAGCCTTCTAGAGTGCTGGGATTACATGTGTTAACCACCACACCCAACCCATATATATACATATTTATTTATTTTTTCCCCGAGATGGAGTCTTGCTCTGTTGCCCAGGTTAGAGTGCAGTGGCGCGATCTCCGCTCACTGCAAGCTCCACCTCCCAGGTTCACGCCATTCTCCTGCCTCAGCCTCCTGAGTAGCTGGGACTACAGGCGCCTGCCACCACGCCCGGCTAATTTTTTGTGTTTTTAGTAGAGACGGGGTTTCACCATGTTAGCCAGGATGGTCTCGATCTCCTGACCTTGTGATCTGACCGCCTTGGCCTCCCAAAGTGTTGGGATTACAGGTATGAGCCACCGCGCCTGGCCTTTTTTTTTGTGGGGGGATGGAGTCTCGCTCTGTCGCCCAGGCTGGAGTGCAGTGGCGATCTCGGCTCACTGCAAGCTCCGCCTCCTGGTTTCACGCCATTCTCCTGCCTCAGCCTCCCGAGTAGCTGGGACTACAGGTGCCTGCCCCCACACCCGGCTAATTTTTTTTTGTATTTTTAGTAGAGACGAGGTTTCACCATGTTAGCCAGGATGGTCTTGATCTCCTGACCTCGTGATCTGCCCCCCTCGGCCTCCCAAAGTGCTGGGATTACAGGTGTGAGCCACCACACCCGGGCCCAAAAATATATATTTTTATTATAACAATATCACAATGGGAGAAGAACATTTCAGGTGGAGGGAACAGCAAGTTCAAAGGCCCTGATGTGAGAGCAGTGTGGATATCTGGAGTGTTCATGGAGTAGCAGGGAGGCCTGTGCTGCTGAAGCCAGGTGAGGAGGAGGTCAGCTTGGGTAGGGCCTTGTAAAGACTCTGGCTTTTATTCTGAGTGAGACTGCCTCCCAGACTGGTCTTTCCATTGAGAATGGCTTGACAGACTACTGGGGTGAGACAGTGCTTAGATGCTCAGAAAAACTGCCTGGGATAGAGAGAATGACAGCTGCTCTGACTGTGGGACAAAAATGAAGACTAGGCCTGGCGCGGTGGCTCACTCCTGTAATCCCAGCACTTTGGGAGGCCGAGGCAGGCAGATCACCTGAGGTCAGGAGTTTGAGATCAGCCCGACAAACATGGAGAAACCCCGTTTCTACTAAATGTACAAAATTAGCCAGGCATGGTGGCGCATGCCTGTAATCCCAGCTACTTGGGTGGCTGAGGCAGGAGAATCGCTTGAACCTGGGAGGTGGAGATTGCAGTGAGCCGAGATCACGCCATTGCACTCCAGCCTGGGCAATAAGCGAAACTCCATCCCCCCCACCAAAAAAAGTGAATACTGAAGGGTATATAGGAAGACAAGCGGGTGGAGAAGGAAACTCAGGGCCTTCTGAGAAGGAAACAGAGATGAGGGGAAAAGAATAGACATGCAAGAAGATGCTGGGGCTCAGAAAGTGATACCCCAAAGACTGGTGCTTTGAAATGCTGAGAGGCCTTAGAAGCTGCCTTAGAATTGTCCTACCACACTTTCTGGAATTTCCTTATCTGACTGAAAAAACTTCTTTGCAAAAGAAGTGCAATTGTCTTAAGACCTCCTGCCTAGAGATCTTATCAAATGACCAGATCAACCACCAGAGAGAAGATATTAGGAGTCATCATCATACCCAGATAGACTTTTCTTCTCTTTCTTTTCTTCCTTTTGAGTCAGCGTCTTGTTCTGTTGCCCAGCCTGGAGTGCAGTGGCATGGTCATGGCTCACTGCAGCCTCAACCTCCAGGCTCAAGTGATCCTCCCACCCTAGCCTCCTGAGTAGCTGGGACGACAGGCATGTGCCACCACGCCTTAGGTTTTTTTTTTTTTTTTTTTTGAGATGGAGTCTCTCTCTGTCACCCAGGCTGGAGTGCAGTGACATGATCTCAGCTCACTGCAACCTCCTCCTCCTGGGTTCAAGCAATTCTCCTGCCTCAGCCTCCGGAGTAGCTGGGGTTACAGGCGCCCGCCACCACGCCCAGCTAAGTTTTGTATTTTTTAGGAGAGAAGGAGTTTCATCATGTTGGCTCTGGCTGATCTCGAACTCCTGACCTCAGGTGATCCACCTGCCTTGCCCTCCTAAAGTGCTGGGATTACAGACATGAGCCACTGCACCCAGCCATGGTGACTAATTATCTTTTTTTTTTTTTTTTTGAGACAGAGTCTCACACTGTCGCCCGGGCTGGTGTGCAGTAGCGCGATCTCGGCTCACTGCAACCTCCACCTTCCGGATTCAAGTGATACCCCTGCCTCAGCCTCCCAAGTAGCTAGGATTGCAGGCACCCGCCACCACGTCCAGCAATTTTTTTTTTTTTTTGAGACGGAGTCTCGCTCTGTCGCCCAGGCTGGTGTGCAGTGACAGGATCTCAGCTTACTGCAAGCTCCACTTCCTGGGTTCATGCCATTATTTTTTTGTATTTTTAGTAGAGATGGGGTTTCACTATGTTGCCCAGGCTGGTCTCAAACTCTTGACCTCGTGATCTGCCCACCTTGGCCTCCCAAAGTGCTGGGATTACAGGCGTGAGCCACAGTGCTGGTCTTTTTTTTTTTTTTTTTTTTTTTTTTTTTTTTTAGATAGAGTCTTGCTTTGTCACCCAGGCTGGAGTGCAGTGGCATGATCTTGGCTCACTGCAACCTCTGCCTCATGGGTTCAAGAGATTCTCCCGCCTCAGCCTCCTGAGTAGCTGGGACTACAGATGCGCGCCACCAAGCCCAGCTAATTGCTAATTTTTTTGTATGTTTAGTAGAGACAGGGTTTTGCCATGTTGGCCAGGATGGTCTGGATTTCTTGACCTCGTGATCCGCCCTCCTCAGCCTCCCAAAGTGTCAGGATTACAGGCGTAAGTCACCGTGCCTGGCTTCTTTTTTTTTTTTTTTTTAAATATAGAGACAATGGATCATAATATAGAGACATTCTCATCCTAATGTTAGCACAACGGGGATGCAGATGGTCAGGATCTGGAGACTTGCAGGAATAGAGCAGTGAGCCAAAGTGCAGCCTGGTTTATGCTTAATTATAACTATATTTCTGCCCAGATCCCAGCATGCAATTCTTGTCAATCTTGGGACAGTTTCAATTTACTCTATTGAAAGTTTTTATTAATATTTTGATAACTGGAATTTGATTTCGATGCAATTTTTTTTTTTTGAGACGGAGTCTTGCTCTGTCACCCAGACTGGAGTGCAATGGCGTGATCTCGGCTCACTGCAACCTCCGCCTCCCGGTTCCAGCAATTCTCCTGCCTCAGCCTCCCAGGTAGTTAAGATTACAGGCGCCGACCACCATGCCTAGCTAATTTTTTGTTTTTAGTAGAGACAGGGTTTTGTCATGTTGGCCAGGCTGCTCTCGAACTCCTGACCTCGGGTGATCCACCTGCCTCGGCCTCCCAAAGTGTTGGGATTACAGGCGTGAGCCACTGCGCCTGGCCGATTTGTTTTTGTATGTATATTTTTTAAATTTTATGCTTTACTAGAATGCCAAAGGGATCTGTGGCACAAAATAACTAAGAACCACTGCTGTAACCTCTCTCTCCCCTCACCCCTTTGAGCCTGGGAGTGGAAATATCCCCTGCAGTTCTCTTACATAACACTCCCACCTTTGTGTGTGCGTGTGTTTTGTTTGTTTTGTTTTGTTTTTGGGATGGAGTCTCGCTCTGTCACCCAGGCTGGAGTGCAGTGAAGTGATGTCAGCTCAGTGCAACCTCCACCTCCCAGGTTCAAGCGATTCTCCTGCCTCAGCCTCCCTAGTAGCTGGGACTACAGATGCATGCCACCACGCCTGGCTAATTTTTTGTATTTTCAGTAGAGATGGGGCTTCACCGTGTTAGCCAGGATAGCCTTGACCTCCTGACCTCGTGATCCACCCTCCTCAGCCTCCCAAAGTGCTGCGATTACAGGCATGAGCCACCGCACCCGTTGTCTTTAATAATGTTTTTGCCTGCTTAATATATAGTTTCTGAGAGATGTGAGTCTTCCTCTAATATTGTAGGTTACTTTTCTGTCGCTGCTGCACAAATTTTTTTTTTTTTTTGAGATGGAGTCTCACTCTGTCGCCCAGACTGGAGTGCAGTGGCGTGATTTTGGCCCACTGCAACCTCTGCCTCCTGGGTTCAAGCGATTCTTCTCTTGAGTAGCTGGGATTACAGGTGCATGCTACCACGCCTGGCTACTTTTTGTATTTTTAGTAGAGACGGAGTTTCACCATATTGGTCAGGCTGGTCTTGAACTCCTGACCTCGTGATCCACCCTCCTCGGCCTCCCAAAGTGTTGGGATTACAAGCGGTAGCCACTGTGCCTGGCCTAAACTTTTTTTTTTAAGCATCCTTGTGCAGAGACTCCAAGGGCAAACAAGAGTAGTGCCAACCAGCCTGGCAGAGCTGAGGCAGGCCTGAACTCTGGCCCCTAGAGGGAAGAGGTGACTAGTCACTAGCCTTCCTTCATTCTCTCACCCAGAGAGAAATGGGGAAGGAAGAGAAATGGAGTAAAAGAATAAGGTATGTAGATGGGGAGAGATGGGAAGGGAAAACATGGAGAATGATGGGGAGGCAGAAAGCGATGCGAAGAGAGATGGAGGAAGACAGAGAGAGAGAAAGACGGAGAGGCAGACCAGACACGGCAGCTCACACCTGTAATCCCAGCACTTTGGGAGGCTGAGGCAGGTGGATCACTTGAGGCCAGGAGTTCAAGACCAGCCTGGCCAACATGGCAAAACCCCATCTCTACTAAAAATACAAAAATTAGCCAGGGGTGGTGGCATGTGCCTGTAATCCCAGCTACTCTGGAGGCTGGGGCAGGAGAATCATTTGAACCTGGGAGGTGGAGGTTACAGTGAGCTGAGAGCGCAAAAAAAAAAAAAGAAAAAAAATAGAATGTCTCACGTGGAAGGTGCTCGCTGAATATTTGTTGAATGAGTGAATAAGCAGAAGTGTGTATGCATGTGACAGAGAGGCAGAGGGGTAGGGGTGTGTAGAGATGTGGCGTTTGAGTGGACACGGGGGAAGAAACAAGTAATATGAATAACATGGTGAGACAGAAAGAGTTGTGGACAGAGCTGTGGGAAATATGAGAGATAAGGAGAGAGATACTGAAAAGAGCGATTAAGAGAGATGAAGATAGGGTGTCTGGCCCATGGAAGGCCCTCGTGAAGAGCAATGCTGAATAGATGAATGAACCTCAATGCCCAGCAGTGGTGGGATGAAGGGGATGCTGTGCAGAAACCACACTACCCATCAGAGAAGCAACTCTGCTCGTTTCCCCTTGAGTTGATGAGGGATTTAGCAACCAGTGGAATGAAGAGCAAGGGAAAGACACCTGCGATCTTTCAGAAGCAAAATGGACAGGGCCTGGAGATCTTTTGGATGGGGGAACTGAGGGAGAAGGCAGAGTAGGATGAATCCCAGGTGTTTGCCTTAAGTGACTGGGGCTTTGTGTTTCCATTCACTGGGACAGGGATGACAGGAGGCTGACCTGGTCTGAGTGGACACTGATGACTTTGAAATGCCTGTGGAGTATTCAGGGTAAGCCGCCTAGAGAGCAGTTAGATAGTGTGGACTTAGGTCTCAAGAAAGAGGCCTGAGGGGGAGATGTAGATTGGGGACTTGACAGAGAATAAGCAGTAGTGACAACTGTGGCTATGACAGGATTGCCTAGGAAAGCCATGGTAGATGCGCAAAATTTATTGAATGAAAGTGGGAAGCCAGGTGCATGCCTATAATCCCAGCTACGTGAAAGGCTGAGGTCGGAGGAACACCTAAAGCCCGGAGTCAGGACTTTGAGACTAGCCTGGGCAACATAGTGAGATCTCATCTCAAAAATATATATAATAAAAAATATATAATAACACTTTTTAAAAAGAAAGTGGGGCCAGGGGTGCTAGCTCATGCCTATAATCCCAGCACTTTGGGAGGCCGAGGCAGGCGGATCACTTGAGGTCAGGAGTTCGAGACCAGCCTGACCGACATGGTGAAACCCCATCTCTACCAAAAATACAAAATTAGCTGGGTGTGGTGGCACATGCCTGTAATCCCAGCTACTTGGGAGGCTAAGGCAGAAGAATCACTTGAACGCAGGAGGCGGAGGTTGCAGTGAGCCGAGATCGCACCATTGCACTCCAGCCTGGGCAACAAGAGCAAAATTCTGTCTCAAAAAAAAAAAAAAAAAAAAGTGGGAGAAACAACCCAAAAATTTTCCAACAGGACAGTGGTATAAAAGCACACGTTTAGGGTACAGGAGTCTGGGGGACTCAGGTTGGATGGCTTTTATGTCCTTGGGAAAGAGGAGGTGAGATTTCAAAGTGAAACAGCTTCCATGGTGACAGGATCTGAGATGTAGGTCATGGAGAGTCAAGGTGATGATTGGAGTGGACAAGGTGAAATAACTGTGAAGTTGCACACTTAGGGTATTGAAAAGGCATTTGCGAGATGGGTACAAGAAGTTTCATAGCAGATTGAGCCATAATAAGAAAAACAAAAAATAGAAACAACCCAATTGTACTTCATCAGGTGAATAGATCAACAAGCTGTGCTACATCATATAAAGGATTACCACTCAGCAAAAAAAAGGAATGAAACACTGATACATACAACAGCGTGGGCGAATCTCACAGACATTAAGCAGAATGAAAGGAGCCAGATACAAGAGTATGTACTATATGACTCCATTAATATGATGTTCAAGAACAGACTAATCTATAGAGGCCGAGCGCAGTGGCTCAGGCCTGTAATCCCAACACTTAGAGAGGTCAAGGCAGGAGGATCACTTGAGCCCAGGAGTTAGAATCCAGTCTGGGCAACATAGAAGGACCTCGTCTCTACAAAAAAAAATTTTTTTTTTTTTTTTGAGACAGAGTCTTGCTCTGTCACCCGGGCTGGAGTGCAATGACGCGATCTCGGCTCACTGCAACCTCTGCCTCCCAGGTTCAAGCAATTCTCCTGCCTCAGCCTCCCGAGTAGCTGGGACTATAGGCATGTGCCACCACGCCCGGCTGATTTTTTTTTTTTTTTTTGTATTTTTAGTAGAGACGGGGTTTCACTGTGTTAGCCAGCATGGTCTTGAGCTCCTGACCTTGTGATCCCCCTGCCTCGGCCTCCCAAAGTGCTAGGATTATAGGCCTAAACCACTGCACCCAGCCTACAAAAAAACTGTTAAAAAATTAGCTGGGTGCGGTGGCATATGCCTGTAGTCGTAGCTACTCAGGAGACTGAGGTGGGAGGATGGCTTGAGCCCAGGAGGTCAAGGCAGCAGTGAACTATAATTGCACTACTGCATTCCAACCTGGGTAACAGAGCAAGACTCTGTCCCAAGAAAAAAGTCTACAGAGGTTAAAAATGGTAAAATGGTTGCATCTAGGAGGGGAAAGGGATTTACCAAAAAGGGGCATGGAGGAATTTTCCAGGATAATGAGAATTATCTATATCTCTATTACAGTGTGGTTGCATGGGTGTACATATTGGCCAAAGGTCATCAAACTGTACATTAAGATCTGTGCATTTTACTGTATGAAATTATATATCAATGTTTAAAAATGTCATTTATGGCTGGGCACGGTGGCTCACGCCTGTAATCCCAGCACTTTGGGAGGCCGAGGCAGGTGGATCACGAGGTCAGGAGATTGAGACCATCCTGGCTAACATGGTGAAACCCTGTCTCTACTAAAAAATACAAAAAAATTAGCCAGGTATGGTGGCTGGTGCCTGTAGTCCCAGCTACTAGGGAGGCTGAGGCAGGAGAATGGCGTGAACCCAGGAGGTGGAGCTTGCAGGGAGCCGAGATCACGCCACTGCACTCCAGCCTGGGTGACAGAGCAAGACTCTCTCTCAAAAAAAAAAAAAAAAAAAGTCATTCATATGGACATTAAGTCCATTAAGGAGTTGGCAGAGGTTGAAATAGAGAGGAAGTGGGCTGGGCATGGTGGCTCACGCCTATAATCCCAGCACTTTGGGAGGCCGAGGTGGGCGGATCACAAGGTCTGGAGTTCGAGACCAGCCTGGCTAACATGGTGAAACCTTTTCTCTACTAAAAATACAAAAATTAGCCTGGCATGGTGGCAGGTGCCTGTAATCCCAGCTACTCTGGAGGCTGGGGCAGGAGAATCGCTTGAACCTGGGAGGCAGAGGTTGCGGTGAACCAAGATCACGCCATTGCACTCCAGCAACAACAGCAAAACTCTGTCTCAAAAAAAAAAAAAAAGAAAAAAGAAAAAAGAAAGAAAAAATAAATAGAGAAGAGGCTGCAGAGTCAGGGATGGGCTCTTGATGAATGTGAGGGCGAGTGGACGACACCAAGGAGAGATTGAAGGTCGTGAGGTCAGATGCTATGAGCCTCAGAGGAGAAGCTGTTCTCAGAAGCTGAAAGTATCATCACCTGGGAGCCATTCATTAGTTGAAAAATATTGATAAGACTTGGCCAGAGAAGTCACCCAATCTCACCCCTGCCAGCACGTAGAGGAACCCTGGTGGGGGTGGGGGAAAGATGAGATCACCTGTGCTGGATTGTGGACTTTTGTGTTTTCACCTGTTTTCATGGTCTGAGTTGGGAGTTTATTGGCCTCAACTACATCCAGCCAGCCCACAGCTTGTTGTTAAAGAAGTCAGACCAGAGACTGGGTGCGGCGGCTCACGCCTGTAATCCTAGCACTTTGGGAGGCTGAAGCAGGTGGATCACTTGAGGTCAGGAGTTCAAAACCAGCCTGGCCAACATGGTGAAACCCTGTCTCTAGTAAAAATACAAAAAAGTTAGCCAGGCATGGTGACAGGCGCTGTAGTCCCAGCTACTTGGGAGGCTGAGGCAGGAGAATCGCTTGAACCCGGGAGGCAGAGGTTGCAGTGAGCGGAAATCACACCACTGCACTCCAGCCTGGGCGACAGAGCGAGACTCCCTCTCAAAAAAAAAAAAACAAAAAAAACACACACAAAAACAGAGACCAGTGCACATCCACTTCAACACTGTTTTATTTGTTGCCTTTCCTCTTGAGTGCCTGGGAATAATTTCTTTAGAAAAGTTCCATCCTTGGCCAGGATGGATGCAGTGGCTCACGCCTGTAATCCCAGCACTTTGGGAGGCCGACGTGGGTGGATCACGAGGTCAGGAGTTCAAGACCAGCCTGGCCAAGATAGTGAAACCCCGTCTCTACTAAAAATATGAAAATTAGCTGGGCATGGTAGTGGGTGCCTGTAATCCTGGCTACTCAGGAGGCTGAGGCAGGAGAATCTCTTGAACCCGGGAGGCGGAGGTTGCAGTGAGCCGAGATCGCACCACTGCACTCTAGCCTGGGTAACAGAACAAGACTCTGTCTCAAGAAAAAAAAAAGAAAAAAAAAGTTCCATTCTTGTGCCCACTGTGCTGATTAGCGCAGCAGTTCCTGTCTTGCAGGTTAGCCTTCCCTAGAGGTTCTCAGAGTTATTAAAAGGGGTCCCTTGAATGTACACACATATCAGGATTTATTCTAGATGGACTGAAAAAAAAACCCCACATACTGTCTTTGGAATCTGGAACATTTTTAGCTATGACAAATGTTTAGAAGTCTTAGATATAGAAAAGAGCTGGGAGAGCAGGATGCCCTTGAGTCCAGGTGTAGCAATGGCACTGCCACCCTTGCACAGGACGGGGGAAGCACTGGAGAAGAACCACACATTGAACACCTAGGGCAATGGGGTCTGGAAGTTTACAGGTGGTACCCCCAGTTTACAGTAGTGGCACCAGGACTCCAACCTAGGCTGATTTGTCTTCTAAGCCACATTGCCTTGGGACGTGGAGTAGAACCATGTGATTGAGTGTACACTGTGGAAGAGTGGAGTTTGTTTTTTTTTTTTTTTGAGACGGAGTTTTGCTCGTTGCCCAGGCTGGAGTGCAGTGGCACAATGTTGGCTCACTGCAACCTCCGCCTCCTGGATTCAAGTGATTCTCGTGCCTCAGCCACCCAAGTAGCTGGGATTACAGGCACGCACCACCACGTCTGGCTAAGTTTTGTATTTTTAGTAGAGATGGGGATTCACCATGTTGGCCAGACTGGTCTCGAACTCCCGACCTCAGGTGATCTGCCCACCTCGGCCACCCAAAGTGCTGGGATTACAGGCGTGGGCCACTGCTCCCGGCCGGAAGAGTGGAGTTTTATCCCCAGCCAGTTACTTATTCCACGTCCCCACTGGTGGTGACCTCTTCTCCCTCCCCAAACCGTGGGCTTCTTACAGCTGAGATAGTAGAGACAATTTTTCCTATATTGATCCTTTGGGGTGTGAATGGGGTGTTGATAGAAGGAGGCAAGCAAGGTAGGGGATCGGGCAGAAGCTGGAATCAAGGCCCAGTTGAGAAAAGCCACCATTGGTAGCTCGGGCCTCCCATGCTCTCTGACCACCAGGGGGCAGGCCTTGCCTTGCCATGACGCCTCCATCCCACATCCTCTAGTTAGATATCCCTGGGGTGGCAGCCACTTCGCTGCTGGAGAATGGCTGAGTTGGTCCTTCCCAGGTTGTGTGGCATGTGTGGTTGTTCCGGTAGCTTAGGGAGGTAAAATAATTTGTTCAAGATTAGACTGGGCACAGTGGCTCACACCTGTAATCCCAGCACTTTGGGAGGCCGAAGTGGGAGGATTGCTTTAGGCCAGGAGTTTTAGATCAGCCTGGGCAACACGGTGAGACTCTGTCTGTACAAAAAATAAAAATAAGTGAGCCAAACGTGATGATGTGTGTCTGTAGTCCCAAATACTCTGGAGGCTGACGTGGGAGGGTCACTTGAGCTCAGGAGTTCAAAGTTCAAGGCCACGGGGAGCTATGATCATATGATCACACCGCTGCACTCCAGAATGGTTGACAGAGTGAGACCCTGTCTCAAAAAAAAAAAGGTTGTATAACATAATTGTGGGGATTGCGGGGGAGCTGACATTTGAACCTAGACTCATTCCAAACCAGCATTCTTAACCATGAGATGACTGCTTCTCCAAAAGAAAGCTCTGAATTACTTCAGTGATGGGTGGGAACTGGACAGTCTACAAAAGTACTGTGACACAGAGCTAGAAACACAGATACAAAGGAAAAAACATATATTAGGTCAGGTGTGGTGGCTCACACCTGTAATCCCAGCACTTTGGGAGGCCAAGGCGGGTGGATCACTTAAGGCCAGGTGTTTAAGACCAGCCTGGCCAACATGGCAAAACTCCGTCAGTACTAAAAACACAAAAATTAGCCGAGTGTGGTGGCACACGCCTGTGAACCCAGATACTCGGGAGGCTGAGGCACGTGAATCGCTTGAGCCTGGGAAGCAGAGGTTGCAATGAGCCAAGATTGTGCCACTGCACTCCAGCCTGGGCGACTGAACGAGACTGTCTCACAACAACAACAGCAACAACAACAACATGTATTCATATAAAATGAGCCAGGCTGGGCGCGGTGGCTCACGCCTGTAATCCCAGCACTTTGGGAGGCCAAGGCGGGCGGATCACAAGGTCAGGAGTTTGAGACCAGCCTGGCCAACATGGTGAAACTCAGTCTCTACTAAAAATACAAAAATTAGCTGGGTGTGGTGGCGCACGTCTGTACTCCCAGCTACTCGGGAGGCGGAGGCAGGAGAATCGCTTGAACCCGGGAGGCAGAGGTTGCAGTGAGCTGAGATTGAGCCATTGCACTCCAGCCTGGGCAACAAGAACAAGACTCCATCTCAAAATAAATAAATAAATAAAATAAATAAAAGGAGCCAGACCAGGAGTTTGAGACCTGGACAACATAGCAAGATGCTGTCTTTCAAAAATAAATAAAAGTAAAAAGTCAGGTGTGATGGCACATACCAGTATTCCAAGCTACTTGGGAGGCTGAGGCAGGAGGATTGCTTGAGTCCAGGAGATCGAGGCTGCAGTGAGCAATGATCACACCACTGTATTCCTGCTTGAGTGATAGAGTGAGACCCTTGTCTCTAAAAAATGTAATAGTAAAAGGAGCCAGAAGGGGGCATGCGGTAAGGGGTGGACACATGGCATATTACATGTCATCCTTCACTTCTATGTGCTGTATTATCTCCTGTAGCTGTGTGATACACATACAAGAGTGTCTGGCATACTCTTGTACCAATCCCTGTAGAGGTATTACCTTGTTTTATTGTGTTCCACAGATGTGCATTTTTTTATATATTGAAGTTTGTGGCAACCCTGTGTTGAGCAAGTCTGTAGGTGCCACTTTTCCAATAGCCTGTGCTCACTTTGTGTCTCAGTGGCACATTTTGGTAATTCTTGCAATATTTCAAACTTTTTCTTGATTATTTTATCTGTTATGATCTGTCAGTAGTGATTTTTTTTTTTTGAGACAGGGTCTCACCCTGTCATTCAGGCTGGAGTGCAGTGGCAAGATCATAGCTCACTGCAGCCTCGAAATCCTGGGCTCAAGTGATTCTCCTGCTTCAGCCTCCCAAGTAGCTAAGACTACTGGAACACACCAGCACACCTGGCTAATTTTATCTATTTATTTATTTAGGCAGAGTTTTGTTCTTGTTGCCCAAGCTGGAGTACAATGGCACGATCCCAGTTCACCACTACCTCCGTCTCCCAGTGATTCTCCTGCCTCCGCCTCCCGAGTAGCTGGGATTACCGGCATGCGCCACCACGCCCGACTAATTTTGTATTTTTAGTAGAGACGGGGTTTCTCCATGTTGGTCAGGTTGGTCTTGAACTAACGACCTCAAGTGATCTGCCCTCCTTGGCCTCCCAAAGTGCTGGGATGACAGGAGTCAGCCACTGTGCCTGGACTTTTTTTTTCTTTTTTGTAGAGCTGAGGTTGGCCAAGCGCAGTGGCTCATGCTTGTAATCCCAGTACTTTGAGAGGTCGAGTGGGCAAATCACTTGAGCCCAGGAGTTTGAGACCAGCCTGGACAACATGGTAAGACCCTGTCTCTACAAAAAATACAAAAATTATCTAGGCATGGTGGTGTGTGGCAGCTACTCAGGAGGCTGAGGTGGGAAGATGGTGTGAGCCCATGAGGTTGAAGCTGCAGTGAGCCGTGATTGTGCCACTGCACTCTAGCCTAGGCAACAGAGTGAGACCTTGTCTCAAAAAGAGAGAGAGAGAGAGAAGGTCTTGCTCTGTTGCCCAGGCTGGAGTGCCATGGAGCCATGGCTTTCACAAGCAAAATCGTAGCATACTGCAGTCTTGAACTTCTGTCCTCAAGTGATCCTTCCACCTCAGCCTTCTGAGTAGCAGAGACATAGGCACATACCACTGCACTTGGCAAGAATTAGCTAAATTTACTCTGCCACGCTGTGTAAATGGAACAATAAAGCCTAGATGGCTGGATGTGGTGGCTCATGCCTATAATCCCAGCACTTTGGGAAGCTGAGGTGGGCGGATCACCTGAGGTCAGGAGTTCAAGACCAGCCTGGCCAAGATGGTCAAACCCTGTCTCTACTAAAAATACAAAAATTAGCCGGGTGTGGTGGCAGTCACCTGTAATCCCAGATACTAGGGAGGCTGAGGCAGGAAAATCACTTGAACCCAGAGGGCGGAGGTTGCAGTGAGCTAAAATTGCACCACTGCACTCCAGCCTGGGTGACAGAGCAAGACTCCATCTCAAAAAAATATATAAATAAATAAATAAATAAATAAAAGCCTAGATGATAGTACATCTGTTTACAACGTGGTTTACTGATTTTAAAATTTTTCTTTTTTTTGTTTGTTTGTTTGTTTTTGAGACACGGTCTCAATATGTTGCCCAGGCTGTAGTACAGCAGCATGATCTCAACTCATTGAAACCTCTGCCTTCCAGAGTCAAATGATCCTCCTACCTCAGCCTCCTGAGTAGTTGGGACCACAGACATGAGCCACTATGCTCAGCTAATTTTTGTATTTTTTGTAGAGATAGGGTTTCGTCAGGTTGTCCAGGCTGATCTCCAACTCTTTTTTTTTTTTTTTTTTTTTTGAGACAAAGTCTTGCTCTGTCACCCAGGCTGGAGTGCAGTGGCGCAATCTCGGCTAACTGCAACCTCTGCCTCCAAGGTTCAAGTGATTCTCCTGCCTCAGCCTCCTGAGTAGCTGGGACTACAGGCAGATGCCACCACACCCAGCTAATTTTTTGTATTTTTAGTAGAGATGGGGTTTCACCGTGTTAGCCAGGATGGTCTCGATCTCCTGAACTCGTGATCCGCCCGCCTCAGCCTCCCAAAGTGCTGGGATTACAGGCATGAGCCACCATGCCTGGCCTGGCCTCCAACTCTTTAACTCAAGTGATCTGCCCTCCTGGGCTTCCCAAAGTACTGGGATTACAGGTGTGACCCACCATACCTAGCCAAAATTATTTTTTTTTAAACTCCATTTACTACTATTCCCAATTTAAATTGTATTTTATTTAGAGACAAGGTCTCCCTCCATTGCTCAGGCTGAAATGCAGTGGCAAAATCATAGCTCACTGCATCCTTGAAACTCCTGGGCTCAAGGAATCCTCCTTCCTCAACTTCCTGAGTAGCTGGTACTATAGGTGTGTGCCACTATGTCCAGCTAAGTTTAAATTTTTTTGTAGAGACAGGGTCTTGCCATGTTGCCCAGGCTGGTCTCAAACCCCTGGCCTCAAGCCGTCCTCTCACCTTGGCCTCCCAAAGTGCTGGGATTACAAGTGTAAGCCACTATGCCCCGCTGGTTTACTGAATATTTTAAGCCTACTGTTGAGGTCTACTGCTCCGAAAAACAAGATTTCTTTAAAATGATTACTGCTCATTGACAATGTACATAGTTATCCAAGAGCTCTGATGGAGATGTCCAAAGAGACGAATGTTGTTTTCTTTTTCTTTTTTTTTTTTTTTGAGACGGAGTTTCGCTCTTGTTGCCCAGGCTGGAGTGCAATGGTGCGATATCAGCTCACTGCAACTTCCGCCTCCTGGGTTCAAGTGATTCTCCTGCCTCAGCCTCCCGAGTAGCTGGGATTACAGGTGCGCCCCACCACACCCGGCTAATTTTGTATTTTTAGTAGAGACGGGGTTTCTCTATGTTGATCAGACTGGTCTCGGACTCCTGACCTCAGGTGATCCTCCCACCTCAGCCTCCCAAAGTGCTGGGATTACAGGCATGAGCCACCACGCCCAGCTGAATGTTGTTTTCCTGCCTGCTAACATAACATCCATCCTGTAGTCCATGGTTTAAGGAGTAATTTAGACTTTCAAGTCTCATTATTTAAGAAATACATTTCGCCAGGCATGGTGACTCATGCACTTTGGGAGGCCTAAGTGGATGGATTGTTTGAGCCCAGGAGTTGGATACCGGCCTGGGCAACACAGGGAGACCCCATCTCTACAAAAAATACAAAAATTAGCCTGGTGTGGTGGTGTGCGCCTGCAGTCCCAGCTACTCAGGAGACTGAAGTGGGAGGATCAACTGAGCCCTGGAGGTTGAGGCTGCAGTGAGCCGTGATGGCGCCACTGAACTCCAGCCTGGGTGAGACAGAGCCAGACCCTGTCTCAAAAAACCAAAACAGGAATCCCAGCACTTTGGGAGGGCGAGGCTGGTGGATCACTTGAGATCAGGAGTTGGAGACCAGCCTGGCCAACATGGTAAAACCCTGTCTCTACAAAAAATACAAAATTTAGCTGGGCTTGGTGATGTGCGCCTGTAATCCCAGCTACTTGGGAGGCTGAGGCAAGAGAATTGCTTGAACCCAGGAGGCAGAGGTTGCAGTGAGCCGAGATTGTGCCACTGCATTCCAGCCTGGGCAACAGAGTGAGACTCCAGCTCAAAAAAAAAACAAAAAACAAAAAAACCCAACCAAACACACACACACACACACACACACACACACACACACACACACACACACACACAAGGTGATTGCTATGCAAATTAAATATAGCTTCACCAATCAGCTTGCTTCTCCTAATCCCTCATAGAAATCTTGGAGTAGCCCTGGGGTGCAGTGAGGCCAGATTCCAGGAAGGGAATGGGTGGGATGGGTCTGGGTACTGGTGAGCAGCAGGGAGGGTAAGTAGGTTAGCTTCTGGGCCAAGGAGGGCTCCTGGAGGCTTGTTCTGGGTAAAAGCTGGTCTCCTTGAACCTCGGAAGGTGGGGGAACCCACATCCTGGTCTCACCCGCCCAACCGCCCACTCACCCTTGGGTTAGCAGCCATCTAAGCCCCACCCTCCCCCTCACACGCTTAGCTAGCCTGCCACAAGCTGGCCCCTTGGCCTCCTAGAGACCCTGACATCTCCTCCAGCAGCATCTGTCCTCTCTCCTCAGGGAGGCAAGCATTTGATGCTCGAGGTCCCTGGCAGTTGTGGTCCTTGGCAAGTGATGTGTGAGTCCCGTGTGTCATAGGAAGCTCCCCATCCCCATCTGGTGACCAAAGGCCTGGCTACAAGTAGTGAGTCCTTCCTCCTCCACCCAGACCTCACTGCTCAGATCCCCTTCGCCAACTGGGACATCTTCCGACATGGCCTGGATGCTGTTGCTCATCTTGATCATGGTCCATCCAGGTGACAGGGCGTGCGCTCAGGACCCCAAGGAGTGTGGGTGGGAGGAGGGAGATCCAGGAGGCTGGACTAGATGCTATAGGGAACGGGCTTGGTGGGGGCTGAAACACACGGCTCTGAGGGAGGAGTGGGACTGCTCCAAAGGTGACACTCAGTGGACTCCCCCAATTCACAGTCTCTCTGTGTCACCCACTGTGAGGCTTTTTAGTTTGAGAGATCCAAGTAAATCTATGATAAATTTCTTGGTGAAACTTTTTTTTTTTTTTTTTTGAGACTGAGTCTCGCTCTGTCGCCTGGCTGGAGTGCCGTGGTGCGATTTTGGCTCACTGCAACCTCTGCCTCCCATGTTCAGGTGATTCTCCTGCCTCAGCCTCCTGAGTAGCTGGGACTACACGCACGCACGACCACACCTGGCTAATTTTTTTTTTTTTTGAGACGGAGTCTTGCTCTGTCACCTAGGCTGGAGTGCAGTGGCATGATCTTGGCTCACTGCAACCTCTGCCTCCTAGATTCAAGCAATTCTCCTGCCTCAGCCTCCTAGGTAGCTGGGATTACAAGCGCGCACCACCACACCCAACTAATTTTTGTATTTTTAGTAGAGACAGGGTTTTACCATGTTGGCCGGGCTGGTCTTGAACTCCTGACCTCAGGTGATCTGCCTGCCTCGGCCTCCTAAAGTGCGGGGATTACAGGCCTGAGCCACTGCGCCCAGCCATTTTTGTATTTTTAGTAGAGATGGGGTTTTGCTATGTTGGCCAGGTTGGTCTCAAACTCCTGATCTCAAGTGATCTGCCTGCCTCGGTCTCCCAAATTACTGGAATTATAGGCATGAGCCACTGCGCCCGCCTGGTGGTGAAACTTTTTTTTTGAGACAGTTTCATTCTGTTGTCCAGTCTAGAGTACAGTGGCGGTATCTCAGCTCACTGCAGCCTCCACCTCCTGGGTAAAAATGATTCTCCTGTCTCAGCCTCCCAAGTAGCTAGGATTACAGGTGCATGCCATTACTGCTGGCTAACTTGTGTATTTTTAGTAGAGACGAGGTTTCACCATGTTGGCCAGGCTGGTCTCAAACTCCTGACCTCAGGTGATCCACTCGCCTTGGCCTCCCAAAGTGTTGGGATTATAGGCGTGAGCCACTGCACCCGGCCGAAACTGTTTTTAATGAACTGAGAGACCTTAACTATCAGGCATATTATTAACTAAATGCAGGAGTTCTCAAAATGTGGATTTCTGGGAACCTAGAACAAATTCTTAGGCCCCACTCCAGACCTACTGAGTCAAAAACTCGGGGGGTAGGCCCAGGAATCTGTTCTAGCAGATGCTCCAGGTAATTTCCATACACACTCAAGTTTGAGAACCACTGAAATAGAATGACTTGTAAATTTCCCTAAGTAGATAATTTAATCAGGGATTTTAATATTTGGTTTAATTCATCAACATGGACGGGTTAAATAGGAATCTCAACCAATTAAGGCCACGTCTTCACCTGGAGATTTAATTAGTTACTTTCTTTAACGAAAACCAAGAGTGGCTGGGTGCACTTTGGGAGGCCGAGGCAGGTGGATCACTTGAGATCAGGAGTTTGAGACCAGCCTGGTCCGAGGTGGGTGGATCACTTGAGGTCAGGAGTTTGAGACCAGATGGTGAAACCCTGTCTCGACTGAAAATACAAAAATTAGCCAGTCGTGGTGGTGGGTGCCTGTAGTCCCAGCTACTTGGGAGGCTGAGGCACCAGGATCGCTTGAACCCAGGGGACGGAGTTTGCAGTGAGCCAAGATTGCACCACTGCATTCCAGCCTGGGCAACAGAGCAAGACCCCATCTCAAAAAAAGAAAAAAGAAAAAGAGGAAGGATGGCTTACTGTACAATGCCATTTGTACTAAAATAATACCTGGATAATATAATGAGTGATATTAGTTAACTAGGCAGCTGCATTCATTAATGAGCTTAATTTCACCATGATGGTTTACATTTCAGCTAGACAAGTTACTACTGAACTGGCTGGAGAATGATGGCAGAGGGTGAGAGTGAGAGTTGGTATAGGAAGAATTTGAAAAATGATTTTTATTTTTTATTTTTTGAGATGGAGTCTTGCTTTGTCGCCCAGGCTGGAGTGCAATGGCGCAATCTTGGCTCACTGCAACCTCTGCCTCCCGGGTTCAAGCGATTCTCCTGCCTCAGCCTCCCGAGTAGCTGGGATTACAGGTGCACACCACCATGCCCGGCTAATTTTTGTATTTTTTTAGTAGAGACGGGGTTTCACCATGTTGGCCAGGATGGTCTCGATCTCCTGACCTGGTGATCCGCCCACCTCGGCCTCCCAAAGTGCTGGGATTACAGGCGTGAGCCACTGCACCCAGCCGAAAAATGATTTAATAAGCAATGTTAAGAAATCAGATTGGTTAAGAGGGAAGGGTTTAATGAGGCACCCAAAGTATCTATTCCCATGCACCCTATGCCTGGAGAAAGCTGGGATGTTCTACTCCAAGCTCTGTTGTCTTTTCTCTTTGGAATAACTGGGGAGGTGTTTCTCTGGGTCTTCCTTCTGCCCCCAGGATCCTGTGCTCTCTGGGTGTCCCAGCCCCCTGAGATTCGTACCCTGGAAGGATCCTCTGCCTTCCTGCCCTGCTCCTTCAATGCCAGCCAAGGGAGACTGGCCATTGGCTCCGTCACGTGGTTCCGAGATGAGGTGGTTCCAGGGAAGGAGGTGAGGAATGGAACCCCAGAGTTCAGGGGCCGCCTGGCCCCACTTGCTTCTTCCCGTTTCCTCCATGACCACCAGGCTGAGCTGCACATCCGGGACGTGCGAGGCCATGACGCCAGCATCTACGTGTGCAGAGTGGAGGTGCTGGGCCTTGGTGTCGGGACAGGGAATGGGACTCGGCTGGTGGTGGAGAAAGGTGAGATGCTGGGAGGTGGTGTCTCCTCCTGGCTGGAGGCCCCAAGAGGCAATGTCCTTGGGAGGCAGGGATGCTCCTCTGAGGCCCCTTCCCTCCCTGAGCCTGTGTGCACTTCTTCCCCAACCCCCGTCTCCATTGCCCCATGCAGAACATCCTCAGCTAGGGGCTGGTACAGTCCTCCTCCTTCGGGCTGGATTCTATGCTGTCAGCTTTCTCTCTGTGGCCGTGGGCAGCACCGTCTATTACCAGGGCAAATGTGAGTAATGGAGCCAGGGGCAATAGTGGACGGGATGGGAGGGGCAGTAAGAGAGTGGGAGGAGGGAGGACAGAGACCAGGAAGAGGAGAGCCTCGGGACTGCAACACTGAGCAGCTCCTGTCCTCTCTCTGACCAGGCCACTGTCACATGGGAACACACTGCCACTCCTCAGATGGGCCCCGAGGAGTGATTCCAGAGCCCAGATGTCCCTAGTCCTCTTCAAAAGACCCCAATAAATCTGCCCCACCACTAACTCCTCATGAGTCTCAAGTGTTTTCTTCTCCATTCTCCAGATGCCAAATCTACTCTCTCCGGATTCCCCCAACTCTGAACTTTCCCTTCCACCAGGTCTGACCTGGAAAGGTCCAAGAAGGCAGCTGCCGGCTGTGGTCCCAGCGCCCCTCCCACCACCATGTGGGAGCTCAGCACATCTGCTTCCCCCAGTCCCAGGAGGCTGAGCCTGATTGTCCTGAGAAATGGGAAGGATCAGATATGACTCCTCCTTGGCAACTGCCCTTTCCTGCCAGGCCCACACATACCCTCTTCTGGCTGTTAGGGGAGCTTGGGTCCCTGAACACTGTCATTCACCCAATAAATTACTATTTGACCCCAGAGTGGGTGGAAGGGTGAGCCATGTGTTTTTTTTATTTTAATTTTTAAAAAATTTAAAAAATTCCCTATTCAAAGGTCAAAAAGCCACATAAGTTTTGATGATGATCAATTTGAACGGAGGCTCGAGATGGACTGAGAGGACTGAGACACAGAAGTGGGGGGACCATGGTTTTTACTGGCTGGACCACAGGGGGACCCTGTCCACCCGCCTGGGTTGAGGAAGGTGTCTGGGGTGCTCAGGTGGGTTTGTTCTCAGCAATGCAGGCATAGTCAGCTCTTGGATCCTCCTTGGTGCCTCTCTTGTCTCTGCCCCTGAGGTCAGGTCCCTCACTGCTGGGCACTGGCAGCCTCTGCAGAGATGCATAGTGGAGTTCCTGCTCTGAGGAGCCCTGGGCCTGGGACCAGGACAGAAGGTGCTGATGGGAGGCGATGCCGTCAGATCCTTCCCTGTGAGTTCTGCTCCCACCTCCAGCCTTTCTTACTTCTCTCCCTCTCTCTCTCTCTCTCTCCCTCTCTCTCTCTCTCTCTCTCTCTCTCTTTTTTCTTTGGAGACAGAGTCCCACTATGTTGTCCAGGATTGTCTTCAACCCCTGAGCTCAAGCTATCTTCCTGCCTCAGCCTTGCGATAGCTGGAATGACAGACGTGAGCCACTGTGCCTGGTTCTGGAGCCTCTCTCTCTCTCTCTCTTTCATTGCTCTTCTCTTTGTGTCTCTCTCACTCTCATTTTCTCCCTGTCTCTCCTATCCTCTGTCTCACTTTTTCTCTTGGTTTCTGTCTCATTTTCTCTTTCTCTTTTGCCTCGATTTTCTCTGCCTCTCTCATGCTCCTACTTTCTCTCTCCTTGTCTCCCGTCCCCAACCCTCCTCTCAGCGCTCAGCCATGCTTCTCCCCACTCACCCACTCAGGATCTCTCTTGCCCTCCCCCTTCCCTGTCCCCAGACTCACCCAGCTCCTCTCCAGCCTCTTTACTGGAAGAAAAGAAGAAGCTCAACACAGCCCACCCTTTGTGCTTCTCCCGGGCCCTCCCGGGCTCCCCCCACCAGCAGGCGTGGACTCCCCTGTTGGCTTCCCAGTGGCTCCAGGGCCAGGCAGTGTTCTGGGAAAGCAGTGGGAAAGCGTGTGGGGGTGGGGGCACAGGGGGCACTGCTGCAGGGGGAGGGAGGGAGTGCAGCGCTCACCTCTTCGATGCAGCCAACACAGGCAGGCGGACAGAAGGACCACTGCCAGAAGCAGGAGCCCGCCCAGCCCCAGGCCCCCGTAGATACATATATCTTCAGGGAAGAGGGCTCAAGGTTAGGAAGCCCATTCCTTCTCCAGCGTACCCCAGCCTCCTGGTTGGTTGCAGCTTTCTCAGATTCCCTCTCCAACAGTTTTAGAGGCAGAAAAATATACCCTCAGAGCTTCTCCATCCCAGACCTTAATACCTCACCTCTTACCAGGTTTCTGGGCCTCCCGTGAGGTCCCTTTCCCTCCTGTACCAGCTGTCCCCAGAGGCCTGTCCACCTAGTCATGAGCTGCATACATCACTGTTCCCCATCACTTCCTAAGCTCCCAGGACTCTCTCTATGCAGATGCAAGAGACACTTTACTTACCATCATTCCGCGATAACATTAGGTCAGGGATCAGGGACTGGCCTGGAGGTCAGGAACTCTAGTCCTTGCTCTTTTAGGCGAAATGATCAGGGGCTGGTGACTTGCCTCAAGTTCCTCATCTGTGAAGTGAGGGGCCCTCTGTTATAATCGTTCCCAGGCTGGGGAGCCTCCCTTATGTGCCAACCCTGAGCTGGGCACTTTCCATTCCTCACTGCTAATCCCCAGAACATAGGGTATCATGGTGCCCGTTGCCCAAGTAAAGACCCGAGATTCAAGCCTGGACTTTACTAGGTCACCCATCCCAGAAAGGTGGAGCTGGGGTTTAAGGCCAGCTCTGCCCAACTCCAGAGCCCAGCCCTTTCCTCTGCCCTGGGCTGACCACGTGGTTTGGAGGGGACTTTTCAGCCCTGGATGGTTCTAGGTGCTGGTAAGGGGATGATGGAGGGGAAGGAGCCTGGGCCTGGGTGGGTGTGGGCACTGGGGGGAAGAAGGGAGGGTGATATCAGCACACCCAGCAGGTGGGCTGCTCCCTGAGCCGCAGAGCAGCGCGGGAGTGTGGGGGCCCCCTTGGCTGGTGTGGAGAGCTGCTTCCCACAGGCAGATGCTGCTAGGGCTGAAGTGGGGCATGGAGGAGTATCTGGGGCCCCATAACTTCCCCTCAGGCACTTCCTCCCCTCCAACCACTGGTTCCTGTTTGAGGGTGAAGAGGGGGCCGTTCTCTTCACCCCAGAGCCAGATATACTGACTAGGGTCTGGAAACTGGGACCCTTCTGGGTTTAAGAGGAATTCTGGGGGGTGGGGAGCAGAAGTGCAGGTGGAGGCCATAAGGGCCGTGGGCACAGAAATGAATTGTCTTTAATTTCTTTGGGGAGCAGAGACTCAGAGGATTCCTCGACGGCCCAGGGAAACTCAAACCCATACTCTCCCTCCCCTCATCTTAGCTTCACCCCACTCTGGGGTGTGACCATCCTTCCACCAAGGTCCCTGCCCATTCCCAGCTTACCCAGAGCTTGTGGCCTGCAGGATGGACAGACTCCAAACTGGCCAGTGCTGTCTGGCTGAAGAGAAGTGTTGCCACCTCAGACATTCCTGCCCCTCCTCTGGCTTTAACTTCTCCCCCAGCCTGGGTTCCTCCCCAGCATTGTTAGGAGAGGAAGTTCGGCTCCAGGGTTAGGGTTACAACATCTTTCTTTTCAAACTTCTGGGCCTGTAGCTAGGGCCATAATCTGCCTCAGCTCCAGTCATTTCACTGATCCTGCCACTAGTCAGCAAACACCCACCACCTTCAGGTGTCTTCCTTGATTAACTCTTCTCTATTACCTCTTACACTGCATCTGTTGAGACCTCTTGATCTTGGCATATGTCTGTGGACACATGTACCCTGCTCCAGTTCAGACTGGGAGCTCTGGCATATTTGGTGTTCTGGTGACCCACTTGGTGTTCTGCAGCTCTATGCAGCAGGCTGCTTGGCTGTCTGATTAACAAACATGAGAGTTAAAGGCAGCCATACTAGATCTACATGAGCCCTGTGGATAGATCAAGGACAGAAAGTTGGTGACAAGTTGGTGACAGGAAAGGAGGTGTGGGCAATACAGGTGGACTTCCTGTAGGAGGCAGCATTCTGGCATTGAACACAGAACTAAGTAAAGGCAGCGGCCTGAGGCTCTCTGGAGAGACCTGGGTGAAGGCTTCTTAGTGGCACTGTGATGGAGAAGGAGATGGGTGCTGGAGGATTGCACACCCACTCCTTGAGGAGGGTGAAGACTGGGGAGCGCCTGTAAGGCAAGGGGTGAGGAGGAGATGTGGTGCCTGGGTGGGTCCATATTAATTTGCGTTTCCCCTTCCAAATTCAAGAACCTTCTACTTCCTCCCCCACCCTTCTCCCCATCCTCCATGTTCCCCATGCTGAATAATATTCAGGGTTTTTTGTTTGTTTGTTTTGTTTTTTTTACATTTTATTATTAAAAAGTGCAAACATAGGGTGAAATGAGAATAATTGTACAGTGAACATATTCTTACCACCTAGATGCTACTATTAACATTTTTTGTTTTGTTTTGTTTTTGAGATGGGGTCTCACTCTGTCACTCAGCCTGAAGTGCAGTGGTGAAATCATAGCTCACTGCAGCCTTGAATTCCTGGGCTCAGAGGTCCTCCCACCTTAGCCTTCTGAGTAGCTAGGACTACAGACACCAGCTACCACATGAGGCTTTGTAGAAATGGGGTCTTACTATGTTGCCCAGGCTGATTTTGAACTCCTGGTCTCAAGCAATCTTTCCACCTTAGCCTTCCAAAGTGCTGGAATTACAGGAGTGGGCCACTGCACCTGGCTCTATTAACATTTTTTATTTGCTTTATCACATATTTATCAATCCATCTCACTTTTAAATATCTTTTAAAATTACAAATATCAGTACATTTTACATCTAAACCCTTCAGAAGCTTAACATTGACTGGAGTTCAGTATTTATTTCCCCATTTCTTTTCTGGCCTGAGGAAGGCAAATTTTACATACAAATCTCAAGTCAGTACTCTTTTTTTTTTTTGAGACGGAGTCTTGCTCTGTTGCCCAGGCTGGAGTCCAGTGGTGTGATCTTGGCTCACTGCAACCTCTGCCTTCTGGGTACAAGCGATTCTCCTGTCTCAGCCTCCCAAGTAGCTGGGACTACAGGTTTGTGCCACCATATCCAGCTAATTTTTGTATTTTTAATGGAGAAGGGGTTTCACCATGTTGGCCAGGCTGGTCTCAAACTCTTGACCTCAAGTGATCCACCTGCCTTGGTCTCCTAAAGTGCTGGGATTATAGGTGTGAGCCATCTCGCCTGGCCTAATACTGTTTTGTTTGTTTGTTTTTGTTTTTAAGACAGAGTCTTGTTCTTGTCACCCAGGCTGGAGTGCAATGGCATGATTTCGGCTCACTGCAACTTCCGCCTCCTGGGTTCAAGTGATTCTCCTGCCTCAGCCTCCCAAGTAGCTGGAATTAAAGGTGCCTACCACCACGCCCCGCTAATTTTTATATTTTTAGTAGAGATGGGGTTTCACCATGTTGATCAGGCTGCTCTCGAGCTCCTTACCTCAGATGATCCACCTTCCTTGGCCTCCCAAAGTGCTGGTATTATAGGCAAGAGCCACTGCGCCCAGCCCCAGTATTCAGTTTTTAAACTGTCTTGTTATCAAGGCTCTGGAGCCAGATGCCTGGGTTCAAATTCTGGTTCTGCCACTGACTCTGTGAGCTCCATAAGTTTCTTAACCTCTCTGTACCTCAGTTTCCTCTTAGGGTTTTTGTCAGGATTATAATTATTGGCTGGGCATGATGGCTCATGCTTGTAATCCCAGCACTTTAGGAGGCCAACACGGGCAGATCACGTGAGTCCAGGAGTTTGAGCCCAGCCTGGGCAATGTGGCAAAAATCCATCTCTACAAAAAATGCAAAAATTAGCTGGGCATGGTGGCATGTGCCTATAGTCCCAGCTATTCAGGAGGCTGAGGTAGGTGAATCCATAGATCCTGGGAGGTCAAGGCTGCAGTGAGCCATGATCCTGCCATTGCATTCCAGTCTGGGTGACATAGCGAGACCCTGTCTCAAAAAAAAAAATTATTAAAGTGTGTAAATCAGTGGCATAAACATGTTAAGTGCATTTTGTGGGTCAGCTATATTATTATTAGTATTACGGAAACACATAGAGATGTTACCAAGAAGGGGAGATGATTGGAGCCACTTCCAGCTTCCTTGGACCTGGTCTTTCTTCCCTTGACTCTTTTTTTTTTTTTTTTTTTTTTTTTGAGAGAGAGAGTCTCAGCCTGTTGCCCAGGCTGGAGTGCAATGGTGCAATCTTGGCTCACTGCAACCTCTGCCTCCCAGGTTTAAGTGATTCTCCTGCCTCAGCCTCCTGTGTAGCTGGAATTACAGGCGCGTGCCACCACGCCCGGCTAACTTTTTGTATCTTTAGTAGAGACAGGGTTTCACCATGTTGGCCAGGCTGGTCTCGAACTCCTGACCTCAAGTGATCCACCTGCCTCAGCCTCCCAAAGTGTTGGGATTACAGGTGTAAGCCACTACCCCGGCTACTCCCTTGACTCTTAACCACTCATGCTGCCTACATCTACCATTCATGTGGTCCTTGCTGCTTTGTTTTGGTTATTCCTGCATTTATTTGTCCTTTTATTCATTTATGTATAAACATTTAGTAAGCACCTACTAATGGATAGGGCTCATTGTAGACTTGGAAGCTCTCTGAGGGTGGGAGTATGCCTCGTCCATCTGTCTTTACTTTTTGTAGCAAGGGAGGTAAAGCTCCATTTCCATCCCTCCTTAGTGAGTCAGTAGTCAGTGGTGAGGCTAAGGCTTACCTCTCCCTTTCTCACTCAGCACAGGGGGCTGGAGATGAGCAAGGGAACGGGAGGAGGTCAGCCCAGTATGGGAATCAGTTCTTCTCAGGGAACCCAGACATCCATCCCTCAAGATTCCAGTCCTTGTCCTAGTCCGGCCCTTGACCTCAGAGACGGGATCAGCTCTTCCTCCAGCACCTACCTTGAGGGTATAGAAGAATGCAAACCACATTGGAAACCTGGAGATCTGTGTTCTCATTTCAGCTCTGCTGACTGGCTTCCTGCAAGCTACCTTCCCTCCCTGGGCCTCAGTTTCTCTCTCTGCTGAGCCAGAAGATGTCTAAAGACCCCTTTGGTTCCACCCTGAGAGCCTGTCTCCCTAACCTCAACTTCTTCCCCAGTTCAGAGAACCCAGGCATCCAGCTGCCCCACCCCAGCTCTGGGTAAACAGGAAGCTGGGTGAGGGGAGCAGGGGTGTGCGGAAAGTCCCAGCCAGGTGTGCAGGTCTACAGGGAGGGGGTGGGCCCGTCCCTGAGGTATGAAAGCCCCCTGCTCTGGCTCTGGTTCAGTCTCAATGGGGGCACTGGGGCTGGAGGGCAGGGGTGGGAGGCTCCAGGGGAGGGGTTCCCTCCTGCTAGCTGTGGCAGGAGCCACTTCTCTGGTGACCTTGTTGCTGGCGGTGCCTATCACTGTCCTGGCTGTGCTGGCCTTAGTGCCCCAGGATCAGGGAGGACTGGTGAGTGGCTGCAACAGGCCCTGGTGGAGAGTTGTATCTTGCGGATGCTTGGCTCCCTCTGGTTGTGCCTGTGGTCTTTTGCCCCCTCTGGCTCAGCTGGCTCGGCTGTCCCTGGTGGGGATGTCTTGTCTCTTTGCTGACTCTCTTTCCATGTTCCTGTGATGTTGTGCTTGTGTCCCGACATAAGCCCCTTGTGTCTCCTCTCCTCTTCCCGAGGTACATCTGTTTCTCCGCCCAAGTACCTATGCCTTGCTTGTTCTCCCTTCTAAGGAGGTGTGTGTTGGGGATGGTGCTGGTAGGAGAAACCCCAGGCCTGCAGCTTGGGTCCACTTTCAGAGGGGTAGGGGTGACATGAGCTGAATCTGAACTCTGGGCACTGTGACCCCACCCAACCAGGTAACGGAGACGGCCGACCCCGGGGCACAGGCCCAGCAAGGACTGGGTAAGAGCAGACTGTCTCTCCTTCCCCGCTTCAGACCCTCAGGGGCTCCCAGCTCCCTGCTGCGTCCCCAGATACCTCTTCCTCTAGGAATCCAGGCTCCCCATCCCTGCGCCCTGTTCTCTCAAGGGTAGCCTGCATGGGTGGCTGCCCTGCCCCCAATCGTGGACTCTTTGCCCCTTCCAGGGTTTCAGAAGCTGCCAGAGGAGGAGCCAGAAACAGATCTCAGCCCCGGGCTCCCAGCTGCCCACCTCATAGGTAAGGACCTCCAAGACCTGAATAAGAGTGTAAATAATCCGAAGGTTCCAGTTCTGCTCGCCCAGAGTCCTTCGGCTCCATGATTCCAGTGCTCGGTTTCCCACCCGCTTCACGACCTTTTGTCGCTCGTGCCCACTCTTACGCTCGTCCCCGCAGTGTAGTTTCTTCTTCCCTCCGGTGCAAGCAAAAGCCGGCCTGGAGGTCCCCACTACAGCGTTCTGCACCCCACATCCGTGTTCCCTCGGCCCCCAACTCGCACTCATCCCAGAAACAGCACCATCCCTCCTCCCCCGGCCCGGCTCGGCTCCCGCAGGGGCTAAAAGCCGCCACTTCCCCAGAAGTCCCAAGCCTTTAGGATCGCATTCCCAAGAGCGCGTCGGCCCGTGTCTCCGCAGGCGCTCCGCTGAAGGGGCAGGGGCTAGGCTGGGAGACGACGAAGGAACAGGCGTTTCTGACGAGCGGGACGCAGTTCTCGGACGCCGAGGGGCTGGCGCTCCCGCAGGACGGCCTCTATTACCTCTACTGTCTCGTCGGCTACCGGGGCCGGGCGCCCCCTGGCGGCGGGGACCCCCAGGGCCGCTCGGTCACGCTGCGCAGCTCTCTGTACCGGGCGGGGGGCGCCTACGGGCCGGGCACTCCCGAGCTGCTGCTCGAGGGCGCCGAGACGGTGACTCCAGTGCTGGACCCGGCCAGGAGACAAGGGTACGGGCCTCTCTGGTACACGAGCGTGGGGTTCGGCGGCCTGGTGCAGCTCCGGAGGGGCGAGAGGGTGTACGTCAACATCAGTCACCCCGATATGGTGGACTTCGCGAGAGGGAAGACCTTCTTTGGGGCCGTGATGGTGGGGTGAGGGAATATGAGTGCGTGGTGCGAGTGCGTGAATATTGGGGGCCCGGACGCCCAGGACCCCATGGCAGTGGGAAAAATGTAGGAGACTGTTTGGAAATTGATTTTGAACCTGATGAAAATAAAGAATGGAAAGCTTCAGTGCTGCCGATAAAGATGCTGAGTTGCGACACACGTCTTAATTCAGGGTGGGTGCACGGGTGCGGGTTAAATATTCTCAGTACTCTTCTGGTTGCTTGAAACAATTCATCACAACACAGTGTATGGCCTTTGCTCCTAGGGATGATGGTCTGCCTGTCCCACCCCCTCCCTGCCTCTGAATGGCCAGGCCCCACCATTAGCCCAGTTGGAGGGTGGGAGGAAGGGGGACTTCTCAAACTCCGAAGCTTCTCTAGGCATCCTGATTTTCAGGGCCACATGGTCCCAACCAGACTCTGCACCATACTCTTTTCTCTTGGGTACCCCCCAACAGTGAGAGGGGTCATTACAGAGCCCAGCAAGCACCACTCAGAAAGGCCCAGCAGCAGAGTAAGCCCCTATCATGACAGAGGAATGAAGCCTGGAGGGGCCCCGCACTTCTCCCCCTAGAGCTGCCTGAAGGCCTCTCTGTCTCCTACCCGACAGTCAACTCTTCTCCTCCAAGGAGCTTAATTCAAGGCTCATGGGGTCTGAAGGGAGGAGGCTGAAGGAGAAAGAAGGGGAGAATATTAGAGAGAGATGGGGATGGCAGGAAGGAGCCTGTGGTGCCTGAAAACACCAGGAAGTTCTGGGGAGGAGGAAAAACCGATGCCCCACTTAGGGTGTCCCATTTAGGGTGAGACGGAAAATCCTCACCTTTTTTTCACACTTTAGGTCCCCCTTCCCAAAAGTGAGTAAGTGTGGGTGCTTCTGGGATGAGTAACAGTGTCCCCCATTACTTCATGGCTGACTTTCAGCCACAGGCTGGAGGAGGCAGAGGGTGACCCAAGGCCCTATCTAGGTCACCCCAATGGGTCACCCTACCCCCTCAGCCTACCACATGGTTTTCTCCTGCCTGGCACCCCAGGGCTGGAGGTAAAGCCTAATTTCCGAACTCAGTGGGGGCTCCCAGTCTAGGGGGGCTCAATTTCCGTCTCCATATTTGTTTTTGGAATTATTATTTTTTTGAGACAGGGTCTCGTTCTGTCACCCAGACGGGGGTACAGTGGCATGATCATAGCTTACTGTAACCTCAAACTCCTGGGCTTGAGTGATCCTCCTGCCTCAGCCTCCTGAGGAGCTAGGATTACAGGCATGCACCACTACACCTGACTAATCTTTAATTTTTTTTCTAGAAACAAGGTCTTGCTATGTTGCACAGGCTGGTCTTGAACTAGTGGGCTCAAGTGGTCCTCCCACCTCAGCCTCCCAAAGTGTTGGGATAACAGGCATGAGCCACTGCGCCCCACCCTTATTTGTCTTTGACTCTCTCCAGAAGAGCCTTCATCCAGGGAGGGGGTGCTTTTCTCTTTCCGGATTACCCACCTCTCACCTCTCCCCTCCTTCACCACAAAGACCAGTGGGACCAAGCCGGCATGTGAGTCCTTCACCCACATCTTATTCCTATGTTTCATTCTTTTTTAAAAAATAGAGACAGGATCTCACTATGTTGCCCAGGTTGCTCTGGAACTCCTGGGTTCAAGCGATCCTCTCACCTTGGCCTTGCAAAGTGGTAGGATTACAGGTGCATGCCACCACGTCCGGCAGTTCGGTTCCTTGTTCTTTATTGTCCTCAGTCTCTTCGATTTCACCCACTGAGAGAATGGAAGGGGATAGAACAGCTGGAAACTGGTTGAAGGAAGCCAGAATTCACTAAGTGCCCACTGTGCCAAGGGCTGAGTGAGGTCCTCTGATGGAGGTCAGGCCTTCTCTCACATGCCCTATGTGTGGTGGACATTCCTATCCCCATTGGATAGATAGGTTAAGTGGCTGGTTCAGGTTGCAGAGTTAGGACAGGGTGATTTGAAGCCTAGACACCCGAATCTCTGGAAGTCCCTTGGCTGTGTGATTCAGGTACCTGAGAATGCGGCTCCTCTCCAGCTCTCTCCGGACTGCTGGCCAGCTGCAACAGCCGGAAATCTCACCTGAGCTGCAGGATTTTCCCAGCAAGGATTGGAATTCCCAGAGTTGGAAATTCCCATGCCCTGAGGGAGAGGTAATTAGGTTCAGGCTCTTGTTTCCTGGGGGATGGGGAATATTCTGTTGGGCTTTGTTTATGTAGGGTCTCCAGGGCCCTAGGAGTCTAAGGATGGGACTGGGTCCGAGGGATCTTAAAGCCTGTGGAGAGAGGACTTAGGGAGCTTCTTCCCACCCACAAGAAGAGGCAGATGCAGAATTAATTCCAAGAAGGAGACCATGTTTCTTTTCTAAGCAAACTTTATTTCTCGCCACTGAATAGTAGGGCGATTACAGACACAACTCCCCTGGGGAGCAGAGGCTCAGCAATGAGTGACAGTTGGTCACCAAATCAGCATTGTTTAGACAACTTAATCAGATAAATATTTTAAAAAACATAATCAAAAGAAGGCACAGAGGCCAGGGGGCTACATGGGAACAGCCTATTGTTCAGCTCCGTTTTCACGGAAAACATGTCTGAGCCAAGGCAGCTCCTACATTGGGTCCCCCAGGATACCCCGGTCTCCCAAATAAATACATTCATCTGTAAATAAATAAATAATAAATAAATAATAAATAATCACAAGTGCAAACATAAATAGAGGGAGCTGGCTCCATGGGGAGGGCTGGGCTCCGTGTCTCAAGGAAGTCTGGAAACATCTGGAGAGAGGAAGGCCTAAGGTCCACTTGTGTCAATTTCTAGGTGAGGTCTTCTCAAGTCCTGCAGCATTCTGGCCAGAACCAAAGGCTCCCTGGTCTCCAGATTCCAGATGTCAGGGATCAAAGCTGTAGGCCCCAGTGAGTTCTGGAGGCCCCAGTTTGAATTCTTAGTGGTTGCCAGCACTTCACTGTGCAGGCCACACATTCCTGAATCCCAGGTTTCGAAGTGGTGGTCTTGTTGCTTAAAGTTCTAAGCTTGGGTTCCGACCCTAAGCCCCCAATTCTCTTTTTGAGCCAGAAGAGGTTGAGGGTGTCTGAAGGAGGGGGTAATAAAGGGATTGGGGCAGGGGAGGCGTTTGGGAAGGTTGGATGTTCGTCCTCCTCACAGGGCAATGATCCCAAAGTAGACCTGCCCAGACTCGGCAAAGTCGAGATAGTCGGGCCGATTGATCTCAGCGCTGAGTCGGTCACCCTTCTCCAGCTGGAAGACCCCTCCCAGATAGATGGGCTCATACCAGGGCTTGGCCTCAGCCCCCTCTGGGGTCTCCCTCTGGCAGGGGCTCTTGATGGCAGAGAGGAGGTTGACCTTGGTCTGGTAGGAGACGGCGATGCGGCTGATGGTGTGGGTGAGGAGCACATGGGTGGAGGGGCAGCCTTGGCCCTTGAAGAGGACCTGGGAGTAGATGAGGTACAGGCCCTCTGATGGCACCACCAGCTGGTTATCTCTCAGCTCCACGCCATTGGCCAGGAGGGCATTGGCCCGGCGGTTCAGCCACTGGAGCTGCCCCTCAGCTTGAGGGTTTGCTGGAGGGAGGGAGAGAGGGAGAGGAGAGTCAGTGTGGCCATGTCGGTTCACTCTCCACATCCTGGCCCTCGAGCTCTGCCCACCCCACATCCGGTTCCTGTCCTCTCTGTCTGTCATCCCACATCCCACCTGGCCATGACGTTCTGAGTATCCCACTAAGGCCTGTGCTGTTCCTCCACCCTTCCCTTGAGCTCAGCGAGTCCTTCTCACATTGTCTCCAAGTTCTGCCTACCATCAGCCGGGCTTCAATCCCCAAATCCTAGCCCTCCAAGTTCCAAGACACATCCTCAGAGCTCTTACCTACAACATGGGCTACAGGCTTGTCACTCGGGGTTCGAGAAGATGATCCTGAAGAGGAGAGAGAAAAGAAAAAGCTGAGACCCTTAAACTTCCTAGAAAATACCCCCCTACTTTCACCTCCATCCATCCTCCCCCAAGACCAAAACTTTAAATTTCCCCCACTGCTTCCATACCGGTACTAACCCTACCCCCAAACCCAAACCCAGAATTAGGAAAGAGGTTTGGAGACACTTACTGACTGCCTGGGCCAGAGGGCTGATTAGAGAGAGGTCCCTGGGGAACTGTTGGGGAGAAGGAGAATGGTTAACATCGAGGGAGTCACCCTTAAAGGAGGAACAGCTGGCTGCCTGTCTGGCCTGCGCTCTTAGCCCTGAGGTGTCTGGTTTTCTCTCTCCATTCATCTGTGTATTCACCTTCCAGGCATTCAACAGCTCTTTCCCTGAGTGTCTTCTGTGTGCCAGACACCCTATCTTCTTCTCTCCTTATCTCCCCCATCTCTCTCCTTAGCTGTCATATTTCCCGCTCTTTCTGTCTCACCATCTTTATTCATATCACTTGTTTCTTCCCCCATCTCTCTTCTCACACCCCACATCTGTCTCCATATCTTATTTATATATCTGCTTGTTCATTCATTCATTCATTCATTCACTCCATACACACTTAGTGAGCACCTTCCATGTGCCAGACATCCTGTCTCTCCATCTTTCTCTCTCTCTCTTCCCCATCTCTTGCCACATCTCTTTCTGCATCCCCGTCTTTCTCCACGTTTTTTTCTCTCCATCCCTCCCTATCAGCGCACATCTTTCACCCATCCCATCTCTCTCCCTCTCTTGCGTCTCCATTTCCCCTTGGGTGGGAGAGTGGATGAAGGCTGGCCA
>NT_167244.2:2811318-2871763 GCF_000001405.40 Homo sapiens | reverse complement strand
GGCCCCCGCCCTGAACGCGAACGCTCGAGGTGGCCACACTGCAACAGCTGGAGCCAGTTACTGGGCAGGTATATTTGGGGAGAGTGCTGGGGAGGGGATTTTGGTTAGGACTATAAGGGAAGGGTGTTTTTGTCCTAGCTACATGATGCTTGCAGAGCCATGAGCACATGACCTCTGTTACCCTTGACAACCTGACAGCTGTGGGGGATGTTCTGTCGCAAGCGTGGGGTTCATGATTTAGATCACATAATTGAAGTCATTTATTATCGGCCCAGGTGTGTTTTTGTGACAGTCACTTCCCTAGAGGGGATAATGAAGAGCTACATTTACCATATGTCTCCGTCTACTTCCTGCCTAAGGTGTCTGTACTGGTGATGTGTCACACTCGGGAGTTGGCTTTTCAGATCAGCAAGGAATATGAGCGCTTCTCTAAATACATGCCCAATGTCAAGGTAAGCCAAGGTAAAGAGACCTGAGAGTGAGGGTGTGGCAAGTTGGAGGGATAAGAAACTTGTAGGCCAATAGTCTCTTTAATTTTGGAGAAGCTTTAGTTTGCTGTGGTGTAACAGAGTGTTGAGTTCCTATGTAACAGGAGGATTCGTAATTGGGCTATGGATGATGCTTAACACAAGACCACCCTTTTCTTACTACTTTATACTGACTTTGAATCATATCAGTTTAATAATTTTGGGGTATGTGGCAGAGAAAGCCGGAAACTTTAAAACAGCTCCAGTGGTGTGTGAATATTGAGGATTCTGGCCAAGTGCACAATGGCTTACACCTGTAATCTCAGCAGTTTGGGAGGCCAAGGCGTGTGGATTATTTGAGGTCAGGAGTTTAAGACCAATGTGGCCAACAGGATGAAACCCTCTCTCTACTAAAAATGCAAAAATTAGCCGTGCATGGTGGCACACACCTATAGTCCCACCTGCTTGGGAGGCTGAGGCAGGGGAATCGCTTGAACCCAGGAAGCAGAGGTTGTAGTGAGCTGGGATTGTGCCATTACACTCCAGCCTGGGTGGCAGAGTGAGACTCCCATCTCAAAAAAAAAGAAAAAATCTGATTGAAGTTAAGCATTTTTGGCAAGAATCCTTCATAGGTGATACTGTATCTCCTGTTATGCCACAAATCTGGTCGACTTATGTTAGTTATTTTATTTTATTTTTATTTATTTGTTTTGAGATGGAGTCTCGCTGTGTCCCTCAGGCTGTGAGTGTAGTGGCGCGATCTCAGCTCACTGCAACCTGCGCCTCCCACGTTCAAGCGATTCTCCCGCCTCAACCCCCCGAGTAGCTGGGACTACAGTGTGCCATCATGCCTGGCTAATTTTTGTTTTTTTTTAGTAGTGACAGGGTTTCGCCATGTTGGCCAGGCTGGTCTCGAACTCCTGACCTCAAGTGATCCACCCACCTCGGCCTCCCAAAGTGCTGGGATTACAGGAGTGAGCCACTGCACCTGGCCTCATTAATGATTTTAGATTTACCATAGGATTAGCGTCGTGACAGTCTGATTCCACAGTTGTTCTTTTCCCCCTTGAAACCAGAAAGTAGTTTCTGGTGTTATTTGATACTGTACCAAGGCCCAGATCCCCAAACAACTATTCACCTAATGGTTTTAACATGAAATGATAATATTTAGCCCGAAGCAGTAATTTCATGGGGTTTGTGTGAAAAGAGTTTGAGATTCTGGGTTTATTTAGGAAACCTTAATGTTCCATGTGTTTTTTGTGGTACTTTACACTAATCTGGTGATTTCTTGCTGTCCTTTATTTATTTATTTTTTATTTTTTGAGATGGAGTCTCGCTCTGTCATCCAGGCTGGAGTACAGTGGCTCAATCTCGCCTCACTGCAATCTCCACCTCCCGGGTTCAAGCGATTCTCCTGCCTCAGCCTCCCGGCTAAATTTTGTATTTTTTGTTTTTTAGTAGTAAATTTGTAAATTTTGTATTTTAGTAGAGATGGGGTTTCACCGTGTTGGCCAGGCTGGTCTTGAACTCCTGGCTTCAAGTGATCCACTTTCCTTGACCTCCCAAACTGCTGGGATTACAGGCGTGAGCCACTGGGCCTGGCTTTATTTTATTTTTATTTATTTTATTTCTTTTTGAGATGGAGTATCACTCTTGTTGCCCAGGCTGGAGTACAACGGTGGGATCTTGGCTCACCACAACCTCTGCCTCCCAGGTTCTCGTGCCTCAGCCTCCTGAGTAGCTGGAATTATAGGCGTGTGCCACCACACCTGGCTCCTTTATTTTTTAAATGAAGCCTGGCCTCATAAATGAAGGAAGTTGGTTAGATTAAGTCAGTAGAACTGAATTATTGTCCTGACTGCTCCGACTAGCCATGTAACTTTAGGCAATCACCCTCAGTGTTTGGTGGGGGGGACATAAAATTTTTAAATTAGGTGCCCTCTAAAGTTAGTTTTAGTTTGGAAACATGCTAAAAATTGGTTTAGCTCAAACAGAGTGGGAACCCTGGGGGGATTGGACTCTTTCCTTCCTCTGTTTTGAGACTCTTTGCTTCTGGCTCGGCAGGTTGCTGTTTTTTTTGGTGGTCTGTCTATCAAGAAGGATGAAGAGGTGCTGAAGAAGAACTGCCCGCATATCGTCGTGGGGACTCCAGGCCGTATCCTAGCCCTGGCTCGAAATAAGAGCCTCAACCTCAAACACATTAAACACTTTATTTTGGATGAATGTGATAAGATGCTTGAACAGCTCGGTGAGTGGCAGTGCTGGGGCTTGGCTAATGCTGGGGAGTTGTTCTTTGGAGCCAAATGATGTTTATTTGAAACAGGAGCACCTCAGTGCAAGGACGACTCTTATCTATCACCCATGACTGATGGCTCTGGGTTCCCTGGTTGGTCTTTATTATGCTTTTAAGCACAGTAAAGGGTGTCATCTATCATCTTTCTATGATTTTTGTTTTTAACCTTTGAGAATAGGGGACTTTGATAATTTTAGGCATAAGTCATCACCACCACCACCGTTTTCATTATAGATTCATATACTGGGAGTCATAGCGGAGATTCTAAACTGAAAGAGAAGACAGTACCCTTCTGGCATCTCCAGCACAGCATTTACAGTCAGAATTTATAGCTGAATAAGTGTCTAGACTCAGGTCTGGGATTAATGTAGAGAGTGTTTGTAGCAGTTTGTGTGATGTGGTATTCTAGTGTGCCAGGTGGGGTTAATGGAAGATTTTTCTGTAAGAATTGAATCTTGGTGAATGAGAGTGGGGTTGGACATAGGCCCCATAAGTCATTACAAATGATCTTTGGCAATTCTATATGGTGAGCTATAAAGGTGGGCTCCAGGTAGGGATGTCATATTTGCCTGACTTGATAGAAAAGTAATCCAGAGAGTCATAGATGGACTCTGATATCTGGAATATAATATGTGCTTGATATTTGTAGTCTGCTGAAGGCTGGCTGGGGCTTGGGCAGGAAAGGGTTGGGAGAAGGTCCCATAAAGCATGTTTTGAAGGCCTTGAGAGCCTCTGCACTGGGCTTTATCCCCATTTCATAGTTGGGAACTTTGGGGTTTTACCTTATTTCTTGCTTGGTTAAAACAAACAGCTGGAATCTGATCCCACTTCTTGATTCCAAGTCCATTGCTCTTTCCATTGTGTTGTTACTATTTCCAGCAATCTTCACCTCACTGGGAAGTCTACCTCTAATCTTTGTTTATCATACCTGCTTATTTTCTCCTACAATTTTTTTCCTTGTTCTTGTAGACATGCGTCGGGATGTCCAGGAAATTTTTCGCATGACCCCCCACGAGAAGCAGGTCATGATGTTCAGTGCTACCTTGAGCAAAGAGATCCGTCCAGTCTGCCGCAAGTTCATGCAAGATGTAAATACCCTTCTACCTTCTCTCCCTCCACTCCCCGCCCGCTGCCTCCTCCCCTTCCTCGCCCTCTTCCTCAGACTCCCTTGTCATTCAAGTGCCAAGAAGGCGGCTTGTGCCCAACTGGGAGTAATGACTCCTTGAAGAGACATACAGAAGCAGAGACAGCTAGTGTTAGGGCCTGCGCGGGTGCCAGGGAAACTCCGGAAGACTTGGTCGGGTTAATGTGAGAGCGGGTAGTGTTCGACTTTTTCATAAATCACAACATTTTTGAACCTCTTCTCCCTTTGGGGGAGGGCAGGATTTTTCTGCCCTACCACCCACCCATCCATCGTCTCTTACATGCACCCTACAGCCACGCACCCTCAAGGTGGCATCGAGCGTACAGCTGGAGCCTTCTGCTCACCAAAACTCCTACTTCCCGGTGGCAGGAGAGCAAGAGAGGGACAGACAGATGGCAGGGCATGTCCAAAAGAAGAGCATCAGCACAAATGAATCCTCCCCTTCCCCACCTCCAGGGGTGGGGGCCTTTGGCACCTCAATCCCCGATACCCTACTCCTTCCCACCCACATCTCCTTGCACCCATCTGGAACCTCGGTTGATGTGAGCCGGCAACAGAGAAGCACCGTGGCGCGGCGAGGGAATGCAGACGGCACCCAGCGGTGGATGGCGGCAGCGGAGGCCGCGGGGAAACCTGACCAGGAAGCTGAGGACCAAACCAGCCTCTTTTTCCGTTCCCGGTTTTTTTCCTGAACCCAACGCGTGCCGTGCCCCGTTTCCCCCAATATGTGTTGGGGAGGGGTGTCCTGAATGGGGTGGTAGATTTTTTTTCTTAAAAAAATTTTTTTGTTTTTTTTAATACTCAGAGGAGAGGGACATAGGAAAGGTAAAGTGGATGTAATCGGGTGGTTGTTAGGGTTTGGGGCTAGGTGGGGCCAATTGCATAAGCAGTGGAGTGTGTTCTTCCCCTCCCTGCAGTGTTCCTTCCCGTGGGATGATCACTCTTTAGCTGTATTTGGGGCTAGAATGAGATTTGAAGGAGGCCATGGAACTTCTCTTTAGAAAGCCTGCCTTGGCTGGGCCTGGTGGCTCACCTCTAATCCCAGCACTTTGGGAGGCCAAGGTGGGAGGATTGCTTGAGCCCAGGAATTTGAGACTAGCTGGGGCAGTGTAGTGAGACTTTGTCTCTACCAGAAAAACCGGGCGTGGTGGCGCATGCCTGTAGTCCCAGCTACTTGGGAAGCTGAGGCAGGAGGGTTTGCTTGAGCCCGGGACGTGGAGGTGGCAGTAAGCTGTAATTGTGCCACTGTACTCCAGCCTGGGTGATAGAGAGAGACCCTGTATCAAAACAAAACAAAAAACAAAACCTGCCTTCTGGGATTGGGCTTCTGGTTTTTTTCCCATGACACACGCATCCTTTCCTATTTTGTCCTCTGGGTCTTCATATTAACTATCTTCCCCCAGGATAGTATAAAAAGTGTTAGGAAAGTTGGGCTTTGGAGTTGTGGTAATTTCTGTCTTTGTTACTTTCCTCCCCTTCAGGGGGTTTTTTAATTTTAAAGATGAATGCAGTGAGGTATAATGGTGTGTGCCTGTAGTCCCAGCTATTCAGGAGACTGAAGCAGGAGGATCACTTGAGCCCAGGAATTTGAGGCTATAGTGTGCTATGATTGTGCCAGTGAATAGCCACTGCACTCCAGCCTGGGCAACATGGTGAGATCCTGTCCCTTAAAAGTGTATCTGCTGCTCTGAATTTGGTATTTTAACACCACTTACTGATACCTTTCCTGTAAACCTGTAGATGGTTTAATTCTTAGTCAAGAGACCAGTCTCATCTAAAACTATCCTGTTGTGGTCTGACGGCAAGTAACTCATCTTGAGTAATTTTTGTTTCTCCTTAAGTGGCATTTTGACTGTCCATTGCAGCATTCTGATCTTAAAAGACATCCACTTTGCTAATGCACACGAGATTCTCTTAGTTGAAGTAGGAGAATCAAATGGAGCAGTTGTCCTCCCCCCACCCCATGTTCTTAGAAGCACCTCTGATGGAGTTATTCTGACCTTGAGTCACTGCCTCCCATCATTTCCCAGATGTTTGGTCCTTGCTCTCCCTTTGAGAATCATCTCCCATTTTCTTTCCTCTCCCACCTCTATTTGAGGTAATGGCATCTGTGCCATTGGGTGGTTTCACTGCTCCTTGACTTCATTTGCAGTTTCTTTCCCATGATAGTTTTTAGTTGGGCAGTCTTAAAACTCATCTGATAGGAAGGAAATTAGATGTAATGTGAGAGAGACCACAGTAAAATGTGGGTATTTTTGGGAGTGGGGTGGGGTTTTCAATCTTCTCTTTCCTCCCCATCCCCCCATGGGGTGTATTGGAGATCAACTTCCTCCACCCCCCCAGGTTTAACCCCCCCACTCTGCCCTCCTCCCGTTCCCCACCCCCTTCCTCCCCCCCAGCCAATGGAGATCTTCGTGGATGATGAGACGAAGTTGACGCTGCATGGGTTGCAGCAGTACTACGTGAAACTGAAGGACAACGAGAAGAACCGGAAGCTCTTTGACCTTCTGGATGTCCTTGAGTTCAACCAGGTCAGTTAGACGTCCAGTAGGGGGATGAGCATTGGAGCACTCCAGCTGTAGCAGAAACCTGGATATTAAGTACACTTTTATTGAGGAAATCACATGTGTGATGTGGGAGAGAATAATGAGGGTATAAATATCTTAGGGGCTGAGCATGAGTAAGGTGGGAGCTGCTTTTCTATTCTATGGCTGGCACGGGTATGTCCTCAATAACCTCAAGGAAAATAAACTTCAAAAATTAAGATCCTTGGCCAGGCACGGTGGCTTATGTGTGTAATCCCAGCACTTGGGGAGGCTGAGGGAGGTGGATCACTTGAGTCCAGGAGTTTGAGACCAGTCGGGGCAACATGGCGAAACTTCATCACTACCAAAGAAGAAAAAAATTAGCCAGGTGTGGTGGTGTATGCCTGTAGTCCCAGATACTCTGGTGGCTGAGGTGAGAGGATAGCTTGAGCCCAGGAAATTGAGGCTGCAGTGAACTATGATTGCACTACTGTGCTCCAGCTTGGGCAACAGAGTGAGATCTTGTCTCCAAAAGTCCTTGAAGGATTTTAGGAAGTTGTTAAAAGTCTTGAAACGATGTTTGGGGGCATGTTAGGGTTCTTGAATGTTTAATTCCTCTAATAACTGCTTATTCAAGAGAAGCATTTCTGACTGGGTGCAGGGCAGTGGCTCATGCCCATAATCCCAGTACTTTGGGAGGCTGAGGCAGGAGCATTGCTTGAGCCCAGGACTTCAAGACCAGCCTGGGTAACATAGGGAGACGCCCGTCTCTACAAATAGTAAAAATAAAAAATAAAAAAAGTAGCTGGGCGTGGTGGTGTGCACCTGTGGTCCCAGCTGCTTGGGATGCTGAGGTGGAAGGATCTCTTAAACCCAGGAGGGTGGAGGCTGCAGTGACTTGCGATTGCACCACTGCACTCCAGTCTGGGGGACAGAGTGAGACCCCATCTCAAAAAAGTGTTTAATTAATATACTTGTGAGTGGTCTATTTGCATTTAAAACTGCTTTCTAGAATTAGGATAGCTCCCTTAGGTTTAATGTTTTGGTGAGCAGGAATATCAGTTACCCCTCCAGATCTTAATTCTAGTTTTTTATCACTTTTTCATGAGGTGATCTCATCCTCATCTCCTAGCATGTCTGGCAATTTTGATTTCTGAACTCTGTGCTACCTCAGAGGCCAGCTTCCTTAGGGAAAAATCAGTGCTGAAGTAAAGTTATATTTCCTTTTCTGCTCTAAATATATAGTGGGGGAATAAGAGAAATGAAGAGGAATTCCTGAGAACGTAATTACTAGAAACTCCCCTCTCCCACGTAATGTCTCTCACACACCATGGACCCCTATTCCCCCAATTTGCGACCCCCCACCCCACCCCACAACAGGTGGTGATCTTTGTGAAGTCTGTGCAGCGGTGCATTGCCTTGGCCCAGCTACTAGTGGAGCAGAACTTCCCAGCCATTGCCATCCACCGTGGGATGCCCCAGGAGGAGAGGTGAGCTGAAGATGGGAAAGATATTTTGTGTCCTTGGGAGAAAAAGACAGTTGAGAGAAGGGAATCTCAACATGTTTTAAATTTCCTTTCTCACAAAGGCTTTCTCGGTATCAGCAGTTTAAAGATTTTCAACGACGAATTCTTGTGGCTACCAACCTATTTGGCCGAGGCATGGACATCGAGCGGGTGAACATTGCTTTTAATTATGACATGCCTGAGGATTCTGACACCTACCTGCATCGGGTAAACCTCACAGGCTGAAAAAATCCCACTCTCCCATTCCCTTGTTTTCTGTTTGTACATCTTCATTCCTGCCTCTGGGTCTCTTTCCTCTTCGGTCTTCCAGTGCTACCCTCTGTCTCCCTCCAGGTGGCCAGAGCAGGCCGGTTTGGCACCAAGGGCTTGGCTATCACATTTGTGTCCGATGAGAATGATGCCAAGATCCTCAATGATGTGCAGGATCGCTTTGAGGTCAATATTAGTGAGCTGCCTGATGAGATAGACATCTCCTCCTACAGTGAGTACTGATCTCATGAAACCCTTTAGGTCCTCCCTGTTCCTTAGTGTGTTTGTCCGAAATCCCATCACATAGGTCATGGGCATCTGATGCATAATGGACACTTGACTGGTTCATGCCCCCTGGTCTTTGATGCTGTGTTGGGATGTTTTTCTGACCTTTATGTGGGGTGTCTTGTCTTCTCTCATCATATTACATCCCTTCCCTCACCCCCACGTCCGTCCTCTGAACCCAGGCAGTACACCAGTGTCTGCATGTGTGCCGTGTGTTCCTGCCTCACTTTCCCCTTTTCATGCCTTATTCTGACCATGCTACGTTTTCTTCTCAGTTGAACAGACACGGTAGAAGACTCGCCCATTTTGGAATGTGACCGTCTGTCCTTCAGGAGAGGACACCAGGGTGGGGGTGAAGGAGACACTACTGCCCCCACCCCTGACAGCCCCCACCCCATGGCTTCCATCTTTTGCATCACCACCACTCCTGAACCCCCATTTCTGATTTGTCAGAATTTTTTTTTAACAAAACTAAAAATGAAACACATGTGTCTGTGGTATCTATAAGTGCTTCGTCCCTTTATTGTATTTGGGGTGAGGTTATTTTAGGGCATGGTCCAGGGTGAATTCCTATAAGGCCTGGGTGCCCTGCCTGCTGTGAGATCAAAGGGGAATGGGACTAAGACTGCAGAGCCCTGGCTCCCCCACTGCCTGCCAATTGCCTGCGCTTTGTGGTCTCTTCCACTTTCTCTGGCCTGGGAAGACGCTGGGGTGTTTATGATCCCAAGGCTCCTGGTGGGTGGTGCGTGTATTTTCAGCGCCGGAGGGTGCTGTGGGCACTGGGGGAAACTTAGGCGCCTCCTCCAAGGCTCTCTTGGTGCCTCCTCATCTGTTCCTTCAGCTTCTGGATCTTGAGCACCAGGGCTTGGGCCTCCCAGGCTCCCTCCTGCCCTTCAAGGAGGGCCTGGTACAGCTCCAGCTGCTGCTCCAACAACTCTTCAGCTCGGGCCAGCTCAGCTGTGCGGTGGGTCCCAGGGCCCTGGTCAGGGAATTAAGGGAGGGAGCATCAGCCAGGGCAGGGGGCTGAGGCCCTGGGAAGCTTTGTTGCAGGCTGTGGCTGGAAGTGAGAAATTCCACCTTCCCTATTCGTTTTTGAACCGGTCGTTTAAGGACACCTGTACTGAGAAGGCCAGGTAGCTTCCTGTCTTGGGCATAGGCCTCTGGGTGGTAGTAGGGGGAGCAAATAGAGTTCCCTGGCCCAGGGGCTGTAACTGGCTTCCTTGAACAAGGATATGGGGTCACTGGAAAGAGGATCAGCTGCTCCTCCCCGCTAAGAAATAATTAACTGTTAGGTGAGGGGGAATAGATCCTGTTCAAGGACTTTGTGGACTGTGCTGTTGTGGGTGGGGGTGGGGTGAGGGAAGGGAACCCTGAGGTCTGGGCTGGGGGAGGTGGGGAGAGGAGTTGGTAGCTGAACTAAGAAAAGAGCTGCAGGGGTAGGCATGGTGTGGGGTGGTGCAGGGTGGGATTGAGGGTTTTTTTTTCCCACACCCCAGTGTAAATTCTCACACCCTCTGTTCCTACCTGTGGTGCCACTTACCCTGGGAGGGGACGTCATCTTCCCATTTCCTCTGGAGCTGGTCTGCTCTTCCATGCTTGCTTTGGGGTTTTGGGAGCAGCACCCATGGGAGCCCTGGGGTGCCAAGGACCAGGAGGGCAGAAGGAGGCGAAGGAAATGGTACCGAGAGAGCCAGGGCAGAGGGAGGACCATGGCGGGTGACCTGGCAGGGAGCTGTGTGAGCTGTCCAACGGCCACCAGGAACTGGTTCGCTCCAGGACTTGGCCTCACTTGAGTGCCTGGCCCTGCCCAGGCCCCAGCCCCCAGCCCTGCCCCTGCCCCTGCCCCACTCTGCCCCACGTCTCTCCCAGCCTGGCCCCAGACAGAGTCCAGGAACAACTCCTGTTCCTGATGTGAAAAATGTCCCTGCCAGTTTAGGCAGAACTTGCTTTAGAGCACTGGTGCCCAGCCTACCACAGGTCTGTGATTTTTTTTTTTTGATCTAGTGTTTATTAGGTATGAATTTTACAAACATTAGCGGTAGCTGTGGAGCTGGAGAGTATTGCACCTTCTCCAAGCTGCATGGCGAGAACCACCAATAGTGTGGTAGAACTTACAGCCCTTTCCAAGGCCGTGGCTCTCTTGGCCTGCAGATAGCCTACGCATCTCCCTATGCTTGTTGTGGACCACTGGGTGTCAGGTTTCCTTCTGATAGTGTTATGGAATGGATCAACTAGGATAGCCTCAAAAACTTTGTATGTGGAATCTTTAACCAGCCCAGTGAGAATTCAGGACTCAGAGCCCCACAGTGGCATCCAGCTTGCTCTTCTGTAACAGACTGAAGGCTTTAAGCAAACTAGCTGGTTAACACCATGATAGACAGGCTTGCTGTTAAGTTGCCTTCTTAGGAACTAGATTTTCAGCCACCGTGGCGCTTATATGTAACATAACCTTGCTTGGCTGTAGCCCAGTAGCGTGCTTTATTGGGCTGGGTGGGGCGGGGATCCCTGTGGAGAGCAGAGAGCTGGTGGTACTGCCAGCAGCGGACCCTCAGAAGAAAGCTCATGACATCAGACTGCTTCTTCCATAGCTTCTGGATGTACTTGTATGCACCATCTTGGTTTACCCAGTGGCTGCTGCCAGACAGAAAGGAAAGGCTACCACAGGTCTTGTGTCTTTTTTTTTTTTTTTTTTTTTTTGAGACGGAGTCTCGCTCTGTTGCCCAGGCTGGAGTGCAGTGGCGCAATCTGGGCTCACTGCAAGCTCTGCCTCCCGGGTTCACGCCATTCTCCTGCCTCACCCTCCCGAGGAGCTGGGACTACAGGTGCTCGCCACTACGCCCGGCTAATTTTTTGTATTTTTAGTGGAGACGGGGTTTCACCGTGTTAGCCAGGGTGGTCTCGATCTCCTGACCTCATGATCCGCCCGTCTTGGCCTCCCAAAGTGCTGGGATTACAGGCGTGAGCCACCGCACCCGGCATTTCTTAACACTGTCTTTTCTCACTTCACTCTGCAAGGTAGGAATTACCTCACTGGTTTGCACCTGAGGAAACTGGCTCAGATGGTTTCATTCAGCATTCACTGGGGAAGTGTCTGTTGGGGGCAGCTCTAGGCTGGATGTGCTCGAAGGTCCATAGCTGGTTGTTGGTAGGGCCTGGAGGGTTCATGTCTAGGTCCACCTGACTTGAAAGCTCATCCTGACCTTGCTTAAGTGCTGATTCCCCTTTGCAGATGTACCTTTTATTGTGCTTCCCTTTATTGCTCTTTGCAGATGCTGTTTTTTATTTAGAGATTGGAGGCTTGTGGCAACCCTGTGTCAAGCACATCAAACAGGTCTATTGGTGCTATTTTCCCAACAGCAGGCAGACATCATGTCTCCATGTCACGCTGTGGAATTCTCAAAATGTTTCAAGCGTTTTCATTATTATACTTGTTACAGTGACCTGTAATCAGTTACTGAAGTTAACTATTGTGATTGTTTTGGGACACCATGAGCGATGCTCATATAAGACAGCAAACTTAATGGAAAAATGTGTGTGTTGTGACTGCTTCACCAACTGGCCATTCTCCCGACTCTGCTTTCCAGGCCTCCCTATTCCCTGAGGCACAACAATATTGAAAGGAATAATCCATGCGGCAAATGGCAAACATCATTGTCTTATTTTAAGAAGTTGTCAAAGCAGCCTTCAGCAGCCATGCCCCTGATCCATGGAGGCAAGACCCTCCCCCAGCAAAAAGATCAGGATTAGCTGAAGCCTCATATGATGGTTAGCATTTGTTTAGCAATTAAGTATTTTAAAATTAAAGTATATGGCCAGATACAGTGGCTCACGCCTGTAATCCCAGCACTTTGGGAGGCCGAGGTGGGTGGATCACTTGAGGTCAGGAGTTCAAGATTAGCCTGGCCAACATGGTGAAACCTCATCTCTACTAAAAATACAAAAATTAGCTGGGCATGGTGATGGGCACCTGTAGTCCCAGCTACTTGGGAGGCTGAGCAGGAGAATGGCTTGAACTCAGGAGGCGGAGGTTGCAGTGAGCCAAAATCGTGGCACTGCACTCCAGCCTGGGTGACAGAGCGAGACTCCATTAAGTATATACACAGTTTTTTGTACACAATGCTACTGTACACTTAACAGACTACAATATAGTACAAACATAACTTTTATGCACAATAGGAAACTAAAAAGTTTGTGTGACTCACTTTGTTGCTATGGTCTGGAAACAAATCTTCAGTATCTCCGAGGTATGCCTGTCATTTCCCTTTCCCTCTTCTTGCTGGCCCAGAATGACCTTGTTTCTTGCCCCTGTCTAGCCCTGCATGCTGTAGGGGTTTGCCTTCTCTGGTAGGTCTGGGCACTTTGTATCCCTTGTAACCTTGGCTCCTGGGATATGACACTGGTACAACTGGCCTCAAGTTCTGTTGGACTAGTGAGCCTCCCCCAACACCTCCTGAAGTAGAACCAAAGGCCTGTGCACACACCGTGCATGTGTGAGTCTGCATAGAGATGTCAGCTTCCTGCAGGGTGTTCTGAAGGGATGTCCTGTTGTGACTGGACTGTGACATAGCCACAGGCCCAGAGGCAGGAGTGGCTCAGAAGGGAGTGGCTGGTCCCAATTTTGATCATCTAGGAACAGGAAGGTCCTTAGAAAACCATGCCCCAGAAGGCAGGATTGCTGGAGAGTGGACAGCTGCTAGCCAGCTCGCTATCTGGATATCACTCTGCATTGGGAGGGAAGATGGCCTCTGCCATGGTGTAAGAGTCCAGGAACCAGGCAGTGAGGACTTCCCAGCGGTCAGTGCTTCTCACACTTGCGGGCCAAAGCACCTTTAGATGAGGCCAAAGACTTTACGTTCCTCATTAGCTGACTTTTTCCCACTTAAGTGGAAAAAGAACCCAGAACCTTTGTAAAAGTTTAAGGGGAGAAGGGCTTTCCCTCTTGTATCTTGGTGATAAGGTTATGCATGACTCATACTTTAATTGCAATGTGTACACAGCTAAAGTCTTAATTATTAGAATATAAGAGCCCCAAACTACTGTTATTATAGATAAGCGAAACTATGCAGTATATGGTTAAACAAACCACAACTAATTAACATTGAAAGTTGGCCGGGCGCAGTGGCTCATGCTTGTAATCCCGGCACTTTGGGAGGCCGAGGCAGGGGGATCGCTTAAGGTCAGGAGTTCAAGACTAGCCTGGCGAACATGATGAAACCCCGTCTCTACTAAAAATACAAAAAATTAGCTAAGCGTGGTGGTAGCCACCTGTAATCCCAGCTACTTGTGAGGCTGAGGCAGGAGAATTGCTTGAACCTGGGAGGCGGAGGTTGCAGTGAGCTGAGATTGTGCCACTGCACTCCAGCCTGGGCGACAGAGCAAGACTCCGTCTCTCAAAAAAAAAAAAAAAAAAAAAAAAAAAAAAAAAAAAGAAAAGAAAAAAAATTAACTACATTTTTGGGAGGTGGACAGAGCAATGCTCTGTCACCCAGGCTGGAGTGCAATGGCACAATCTCTGCTTGCTGGAACCTCCGCTTGCCGGGTTCAAGCAATTCTTATGCCTCTGCCTCCCAAGAAGCTGGGATTACAGACGTGTGCCACTATGCCGAGCTAATTTTTGTATTTTTAGTACAGACAGGGTTTCACCATGTTGGCCAGGCTGGTCTTGAACACCTGGCCTCAAGTGATCCGACTGCCTCAGCCTCCCAGAGTGCTGGGATTACAGGTGTGAACCACCGTGCCTGGCCCTCTATCTGTTAATTTAAAAGATTAGCAGCCATTTAGAAAAAACAACAAATGAGACTTTTGCAAGACAATCTAAATGATACACTAATAACAATCCTTTGGGAAAGTGACATTTCAACCATGTGAGTTTCTGCTTTAGGTTATGAACTCCAAAATGGACTAAATGGACTAACCCCCAATAATTTATAGTAGCTAGTTTTTTTTTTTTTTCACAGTAGGTAATTCTAAACCATAAATAAAATAGAATCTGAATTTTGGCTTTGTTCACCTGTGGGAACTTAATTAAGAAAGCACTGGCCTTTGGGTCGGTTCAAATATAGTGGATGAGGCCAGGCGCAGTGGCTCACACCTGTAATCTCAGCACTTTGGGAGGCCGAGGCGGGCGGATCATGAGGTCAAGAGATCGAGACCATCCTGGCCAACATGGTGAAACCCCGTCTCTACTAAAAATACAAAAATTAGCCGGGCATGGTGGTGCACGCCTGTAGTCCCAGCCACTCGGGAGGCTGAGGCAGGAGAATCACTTGAACCCGGGAGCCAGAGGTTACAGTGAGCTGAGATCATGCCACTGCACTCCAGCCTGGCGACAGAGCGAGACTCTTGTCTCAAAAAACAAAAAACAAAACCAAAAAGAAAGAAAACCAAATATAGTGGATAATCGTGGATCTCATAATTGTAGAAATGAAGGAATTAAGCTAAAAAAATACATAAACCAGAATACCTAGTGCTAAAGTGGAATGTCCCCACCAAAACTCATGTTGACATTTAATTGCTATCCTAATGGTATTAAGATGCAAGACTTTTTTTTTTTCTTTTTTTGAGATGGAGTTTCGCTCTTGTTGCCCAGGCTGGAGTGCAATGGCACAATCTCAGCTCACTGCAACCTCCGCCTCCCATGTTCAAGTGATTCTCCTGTCTCAGCCTCCTGAGTAGTTGGAATTACAGGCACATGCCACCACGCCCAGCTAATTTTTGTATTTTTAGTAGAGACGGGGTTTCATCATATTGGTCAGGCTGGTCTTGAACTCCTGACCTCAGGTGATCCACCTGCCTTGGCCTCCCAAAGTGCTGGGATTACAGGCATGAGCCACCGTGCCCAGCCGATGTGGGACCTTTCAGGGTTGATTAGATTGAATAGATTAATGCCATTGTATGGCATGATAGAAATCAGTTCAGCCTCTTTGCCCTTCCACCTCTCACTATGGGATGATACTGCAGCCAGGCCCTCATAAGATGCCAGTGTCATGCTCTTGGACTTCTCAGCCTCCAGCTCTGTGGGAAAAACATTTATTGTCTTTATAAATTACCCAGTCTGTGCTGGGTGTGGTGGCTCAAGCCTGTAATCCCAGCACTTTGGGAGGCCAAGGTGGGTGGAAGGCTTGAGCCCAGGAGTTTGAGACCAGCCTGGGCAACATGGCAAAACCCATCTCTACAAAAAAACACAAAAATTAGCTGGTGTGGTCGTGCGGGTCTGTGGTCCCAGTTATTTAGGAGGCTGAGGTGGGAGGATCACTTGAGTCTGGGAGGTGGAGGTTGCAGTGAGTCGAGATCATGCCACTGCACTCCAGTCTGAGCGACAGAGAGAGACCCTGTCTGAAAAAACAACAAAATAAATTACCCAGTCTGTAGTATTCTGTTATAGCGGCAGGAAACGGACTAAGACACATAGATTATGTTACTGTGTTTATTTATTTATTGTTGTTTTTGTTATTCCTGACTCTTAATATAGAGTCTTAATCAGATGAGCATTCTGGCCTGGTCTCCGCAGAAGGGGCCTGTCTTTAGCCACGGACAAGAGGAGATTAAGGCCAGCATCATCCACAAGGTCAAGGGGCTGCAGAGCCCCCTAAGGCCAGTGTGCTGATGGGCCCCTCAATATTGTATCCTACCCAGTGGATTGGCAGGACTGGGTGACTGACAGGAATCATTGTTGCCTCTATGGGAAAGTCTTATGGAGATGGGGGCTGAGGGATGTTGAAGTTTAGCCATTACATTACAGTGAGAGAGATTACATTACTAAGTGTCAGAGACCCTGCTGGGCACTTTCTGTTACTGTCACAGGTGGCTTTCACAGTAACCTTTTAAGAGAGCTCTTTTCATTTTTCTTGTACATGGCTGTCCAGTTGTTCCAGCAGCATTTGCTGAAAAGACTATCTTTATTGTATTGTCTTTGCTCCTTGTATTTATGTGGGACTATTTCTTGGCTCTCTATTCTGCTCAAGTGGATCAATTTGTCTATTCTTTGCCAATGCCACTCTGTCTTTCTAAAATTAATTTTTCGATTGACTAATTTTATACATTTGTGGTGTACATCATGTTTATATATATATGCACATACATACACACACATTGTGGAATGGATAAACCAAACAATTTAATAATATGTACATTACCTCACATACATATTTTGTGTGTATGTGATGAGAATGCTTAAAGCTATTCTCATACTATTTTGAAATACACAATATGTTGTTATTAAGTTTAGTCACCATAAGGTACAATAGATCTCTTGAACTTATTCTTCCTAACTGAAATCTTGTGTTCTTTGACTAACATCTCCCCAATTCCCCGACCTCCCAGCCTCTGATAACCACCAGTTTACTCTCTATTTATGAGTCTGGCTTTTTCTATACTCCACATATAAGTGAGATTGTATTTGTCTTTCTGTGCCTGGCTTATTTCACTTAACATAATGTCTTCCAGGTTCATCCATGTTGTCACAAATGACAGGATTTTGTTTTTTAAGGCTGAATAGTATTCCATTTTTTATATATACCACATTTTCTTTATCCATTCATCCATTGATGGACACTTAGGTGGATTCTATATCTTGGCTATTGAGAATAATGCTGCAGCCAGGTGCAGTGTCTCGTGCTTATAATCCCAGATAATTGGGAAGCTGAGACAGCAGGATCGCTTGAGGCCAGGAGTTGCCCTGGGCAACATAGACTCTATCTCTAAAGGAAAAAAAAAAAAAAAGAATAATGATGCAATGAATATGGGAGTGCAAATATCTCAACGTACTGATTTCATATCCTTTGGATATATACCCATTAGTGGGATTGCTGGATCATGTGGTATTTCTATTTTTAAAATTTTTGCAGAACCTCCATACTGTTTCCCACAATGGCTATGCTAATCACCACTCTGTCTTGATTACTATGGCTTTATAGAAAGTCTAAGTCAGGTAGTGGTGGTCTTTGACTTTATTTTTCTCCTATATTGTGCTGGCTAGGTCTTTTGCCTCACCATATAAAGTTTGAATCAGTTTGTTAATATCCACAAAATAACTTACTGAGGTTTTTTATTGAGATTGCATTCATTCCACAGATCAAGTTGGAAAGAACAGATATATTAACAGTATTGAGCCTTCCTGACTATGAACATGGAATATCTCTCCATTTGTTTAGTTCTTTGATTTCTTTTGTCAGTTTTGTAGTTTTGTTCATATAGATCTTGTACATATTTTCTTAGATTTGTACCTAAGTGTTTCATTTTTGGGGGTGCTAATGTAAGTGGTATTGTGTTTTAAATGGCAAATTCTGGACCAGGCACGGTGGCTCACGCCTGTAATCCCAGCACTTTGGGAGGCTGAGGCAGGCAGAACATGAGGTCAGAAGTTCGAGATCAGCCTGGCCAACATGGTAAAACCCCGTCTCTACTAAAAATACAAAAATTAGCTGGGCATGGTGGGGCACACCTGTAATCCCAGCTACTCAGGAGGCTGAGGCAGGAGAATTGCTTGAACCTGGGAGGAGGAGGTTGCAGTGAGTTGAGATCGCGCCACTGCACTCTAGCCTGGGCGACAGAACAAGACTCCGTCTTGAAAAAAAAAAATTAAATGGCGAATTCTACGTGCTCATTGCTGATACATAGAAAAGTGATTGGCTTTTACATATTAACTTTATATCCTGCAACCTTGCTATAATTGCTTGTTAGTTCCAGGAGTTTTTTATGTGTGGATTCTTTTTGATTTTCTACATAGACAATCATATCATCTGTAAACAAAGACAGTTTTATTTCTTGTTCCAAATTTGTATACCTTTTAGTTCCTTTTCTTGTCTTACTACTTTAGCTAGGACTTCCAGTACAACGTTGAAAAGCTGTGTTGAGAGGGTCATTCCTGCCTTGTTCTGATCTTAGCAGGCAAGCTTTTAGTTTCTCACCATTAAGTGTGATGTTAGCTGTGGATGTTTTGTGGATGTTGTTTATCAAGTTGAGTAAGGTCTTCTCTATTCCTAGCTTGCTAAGAGATTTTTTTTTTTAATCATCATGAATGGGTGTTGGATGTTGTCAATTGCTTTTTCTGCCTCTATTGATATGATCATGTGATTTTCTTCTTTAGCCAGTTGATTTAATGGATTACATTAACTGATTTTCCAATGTTGAAGTAACTTTGCATACCTGGGATAAATCTTACTTAGGCATGGTGTATTGTTCTTCTCATACATTGTGGATTTGATTTGCTAGCATTTTGCTGAGGATTTTTGCACCTATGTTCATGAGAGATATTGGTCTGTGGTTTTCTTTTTTTGTGAAGTCTTCATCTGATTTTGGTATTTGGCTAATGCTGGCCTCATGGAATTAGTTAGAAAGTATTCCCTCATGGAATCCTGGCCTCATGAAATGAGATAGAAAGTGTCTGTCTTGGCTTTGCAGACGCCACCATCAGGAGCCCCATACTATCAGCCATGGTCAACCCCACCGTGTCCTTCAACATCGCTGTCAATGGTGAGCCCTTGGGCTGTGTCTCCTTCAAGCTGTTTGCAGACAAGTTTCCAAAGACAGCAGAAAACTTTCGTGCTCTGAGCACTGGAGAGAAAGGATTTGATTATAAATGTTCCTCCTTTCACAGAATTATTCCAGGGTTTATGTGTCAGGGTGGTGACTTCACACGCCATAATGGCACTGGTGGCAAGTCCATCTACGGGGAGAAATTTGATGATGAGAACTTCATCCTAAAGCATACAGGTCCTGGCATCTTGTCCATGGCAAATGCTGGACCCAACACAAATGATTCCCGGTTTTTCTTTTTTCTCTTTTTTTTGAGATGGAGTCTTAACTCTGTCGCCCAGGCTGGAGTGCAGTGGCGCGATCTTGGCTCACTGCAACTTCCGCCTCCCAGGTTCAAGCAATTCTCCTGCCTCAGCCTCCTGAGTAGCTGGGATTACAGGCATGCACCACCATGCCTGGCTAATATTTGTATTTTTATTAGAGACAGGGTTTCACCATGTTGGTCAGGCTGGTCTTGAACTCCTGACCTCAGGTGATCTGCCCATCTCGGCCTCCCAAAGTGCTGGGATTACGGCATGAGCCACCTAGCCCGGGCAATTCCCAGTTTTTCATCTGCACTGCCAAGACTGAGTGGTTGGATGGCAAGCCCATGGTCTTTGGCAAGGTGAAAGATGGCATGAATATTGTGGAGGCCATGGAGCACTTTGGGTCTGGGAATGGCAAGACCATCAAGAAGATCACCATCGCTGACTGTACACAACTTGACTAAGTTTGACTTGTGTTTTTTTTTGAGACTGAGTTTCGCTCTTGTTGCCAGGCTGGAGTGCAATGGCGCCATCTCGGCTCACTGCAACCTCTGCTTCCTGAGTTCAGGCGATTCTTCTGCCTCAGCCTCCCGAGTAGCTGGGATTACAGGCATGCGCCACCACACCTGGCTAATTCTGTATTTTTAGTAGAGACGGGGTTTCTCCGTGTTGGTCAGGCTGGTCTTGAACTCCTGACCTCAGGTGATCCCACCTGCGTCAGCCTCCCAAAGTGCTGGAATTACAGGTGTGAGCCACCGCGCCCGGCCTGACTTGTGTTTTATCTTAACCACTAGACCATTGCTTCTGTAGCTCAGGAGAACACCCTCCATCCATCTGCTCGCAGTATCTAGAATCTTTGTGCTCTCACTGCAGTTCCCTTTGGGTTTCATGTTTTCCTTGTTCCCTTCCATGCCTAGCTGGATTGCAGCATTAAGTTTATGATTATGAAATTAACACTGAATAACAACAACAACAAAAGAAAGTATGTCTTCTGGAAGAGATTATAGAAAATTGGTATAATTTTTTCCTTAAATGTTTGATAGAATTTATCAGTAAACCCATTTGGGGCTGATGTTTTCTGTTTCTGAATGTTATTAATTATCGATTTAATTTAATATATGTCTATTCATTTCATTTTTTAAATTAATTTTTTTTATAAGACAAGGTCTCACTATGTTGCCCAGGCTTCTCTCAAACTCCTGGGCTTAAATTGGCCTCCCAAAGGGCTGGGATTACAGGCATGAGCTACTGTACCTAGCTTCATTTCACTTTTAGTTAAATTTGTTTTGAATAATAATAGATTTAACTTTGGGAGGCCGAGGCGGACAGATCACCTGAGGTCGGGAGTTCGAGACCACCCTGGCCAACATGGCGAAACCCCATCTCTACTAAAAATACAAAAACTAGCCGAGCGTGGTGATGGGTGCCTGGAATCCCAGCTACTGGGGAGGCTGAGGCAGGGCAATTGCTTGAACCCAGGAGGTGGAGGTTGCAGTGAGCTGAGATCGCGCCATTGCACTCCAGCCTGGGCGACAGAGCGAGACTCCATCTCAAAAAAAAAACAAAAACAAAACAAACAAAAAAACCCAATAACAATAACAATAATAGATTTAAAGAGTTGCAAAGCTAGAACACAGAGTTTCCATAAACCCCAGCTTTCCTTAATGTTAACATCTAACAAAATTCTGTCAAGACTAAGAAACTAAGAAATTAACATTGCTATAATACTATTCGCTAAACTGTAGACTTTATTTGGACTTCACCAGTTTTTCCAGGGCCCATTAATGCATTTAGCTTTTGGGTCTCCCTAGTCTTTCTGATCATGAGTTTCTCAGTCTTTACCTGTTTTCATGACCTTGAAAGTTTTGAAGAATACTGGATAGATAATTTGTAGGATGTCCCTCACTTTGGGTTTGCCTGATGCTTCCTTATGATTAGATTGGGGTTATGGGTTTAAGGGAAGAATACCATAGAGGGGAGTGTCCTCATCACATCATTTCTGGGGGGCAAGATGTTAACATGACTCTGATTGCTTGGTAGTGTCTGCTACATTTCTCCACTGTAAAGTTATTATTTTTCCTTTTTCATACTCTAGTCTTTGGAAGCAAGTCAGCAAGTCCAGCCCATATTCAAGGTGAGAGAAATAAAATTCCAATCTCCTGGGAAAGAGATTCTCGTAATATATGTTTTGAAATTCTTCTGTAAGGAAGATTTGCCCCTTCTTCCCTATTTATTTATTTAATTATTTTTGATTAAATAAATCAGTGTGGAATGAATATTTATTTATATTTTGGGTCATAATCCAATACTATTGTAACTTTGTTGCTCGGATTATTCCGGCTTTGTCCATAGGGAGCTCTTTCAGGCTGACTCCTGTGTCCCTCTGACATGCCCTTATTTTTTGGTGGTGAGGGTTGGGAGATGGGTGGCGGTTACTTTCTGGCATTACAAGATGTTCCAGGCTCACCTTATATTTTTCCTATGCCAGCCCTAGAATCAGCTGTTTTTCTATGGAGCCCTGAATCCTTTTATCAGAGAATGACTTAGCACAACCAAGGTCTAGGCACTGGGTGCTCACTTCACTCTTCTAAGGAGGACACAGAGGTCTCAAGACCTGTGTGAACTCACACAGGCACATAAATGGCTCTCACTTCAGCACCACTTTAGAGCTGATTCAGCTGGGCATGGTGGCTCATGCCTGTAATCCCAGAACTTTGGCAGGCTGAGGCAGGCGGATCACCTGAGGTCAGGAGTTTGAGACCAGCCTGGCCAACATGGCGAAACCTCGTCTCTGCTGAAAAATACAAAAATTAGCTGGGCATGGTGGCTCATGCCTGTAATCCCAGCTACTTGGGAGCCTGAGACAGGAGAATTGCTTGAGTCGGGGAGGCAGAGGTTGCAGTGAGCTGAGATCATGCCACTGCACTCCAGCCTGGGCGACAGAGCAAGACTCCGTCTCAAAAAAAAAAAAAAAAAAAAAAAAAAAGAGAGAGAAAGAAAAAAAGAGCTGATTCAGCTCAGACTTTGACTTCCCCGACTTGATGAGCAATTTTCCATGCAGGTCTTTATTTCTTAAAGCTTCTGTTTTTCAGTATGCAGGGCTTAGGCACTAGTAATTTTATTCCCTAATATTTGGAGACTTTCCTAAAATAAACATTTCACATTTTGGTTACATGATTCACTTAGAGAATTGACCAGAATAGGCAAGAGGAAGAAGCCGGTGGAGGGAGGAGGCACATTGTTCTTTCCTGTGGAGTATTTCCCAATTCCTGCTGCTCTTTCCACATCCCTGGGCCTGGGAGAAGGATGGCACCCTTGGACCATGACAGAAAAATGGTGATTTGGAAATACCTGCCTCTTCTGTCTCCCTACCCTTCCATTTCAGTGCCCATTCTCCCTCCCAACCCATGGCCCATGAGCTTTTCCTTCTCCTAGCCTCTCACCTAGTGCTGGCTCCTCAGAGGGAAGTGAACCATCACCCCCTGGAGGGTGGAACTGGGGAGAGAGAGGCCAGAGCCTGGGGCTGGGGCAGAAGCTGCAGCAGGAAGGAAGGAGGTTAGAGAGACAGATGAGGGGTGAGATGTGAGTGCTCAGAGGGAGAATGAGGACATCCCCAGCATCTCCATAGAGGAGGGAGGAAGGGGCCTTGGGTGCTGGGGCAGAGAGAGGGGCAGGATCTGGATGGGACACCCCACCCTCAGCCTCTGGTCCTCTGACAACACCTCACCTAGTCACACTGAGGGGCTTCTCCAGGCCCAGGAGCACCTGCAGGCAGGTGTATCTCAGGCCTTCTCTGGGAGGGCCCCCCACAGCTGCCCAGCCCTGATATGTCTCATCTTCCTGGGTCTGGTCCCCTTGAGTCTTGAGTCCAGAGTTGGCTCCTCCCCTTCCTGCAGCCAGGTCAGAGTGATGTTGGCAAGTGAGAAGCCAGGTGCTCTACATGGCAAGGTGTGGTTGCCCTCAGGGTCTTCCTTGTCAGGGACCACAACTTTGGGGAAGTCGGGGAGGCACCGGATGCAGGAGATAGAGAACAGAGAGGTGGAGTGAGAGTGGGACACACTTCAGCCTCCCCTCCTCTCCTAGTCTTCCTCCACATGCCAGTGCCTTTCCCTCCCCAACTCCAGCACTTCTAACAGCCACAGCAGGAAGGGGAGACCCAAATCCCCATCACTCTCTGCCACAGTCTCTGTGAGTGTGGCCACCTCCATTTCCACTGCAGCTTTAGGGTCTGCCCCAGAGCAGAGTCCTGGGTATGCTTAGAGCGGGATACTGGAAGGTTCTTCCTTCAAATATCTGCATGGCTGTGTCTCTCCTTCTCAAGTCTGCTCACATGGCTCCTCCAAGAGGCCTACCCTGACCACCTGCCTCGGCCTCCCAAAGTGCTGGGATTACAGGCGTGAGCCACCACGCCCGGCCATTGTCCTGGCTCAATCTGATCAGGAATTCTTTTTTACTTTTTTCTTTTTGATTTTTTAGGTTCAAGGGATACATATTCAGGTTTGTTACATGGGTAAATTGTGTATCACGGGTGTTTGGTGTGCAGATAATTTTGTTACTCAGGTAATCAGCACAATACCCAATAGGTAGTTTTTTAATCCTCCCCCTCCTCCCACCCTCCACCCTCAAGGAGGCCCCAGTGTCTATTGTTCCCTTCTTTGTGTCCATGTGTACTCAATGTTTAGCTGCCACTTATAGGTGAGAATATGTGGTATTTGGCTTTCTGTTCCTACATTAATTTGCTTAGAATAATGGTCTCCACCTCCATCCATGTTGCTGTGAAGGACATGATTTCGTTCTTGTTTTTTTGGCTGGGTAGCGTACCATGGTGTATAAGTGCTGCAGTTTTCTTTTCTTTTCTTTTTTTTTTGAGACGGAGTCTCATTCTGTCACCCAGGCTGGAGTGCAGTGGCGTGATCTCGGCTCACTGCAAACTCCACCTCCTGGGTTCATGCCATTCTCCTGCCTCAGCCTCCCGAGTAGCTGGGACTACAGGTGCCCGCCACCACACCCGGCTAATTTTTTGTATTTTTAGTAGAGACGGGGTTTCACTGTGTTAGCCAGGATGGTCTCGAACTCCTGACTTCGTGATCTGCCCGCCTCACCCTCCCAAAGTGCTGGGATTACAGGCGTGAGCCACCGCGCCTGGCCCTGTGCCGCAGTTTTCTTTATCCATTCCACTGTTGATGGGCATCTGGGTTGATTCCTTACCTTTGCTATTGTGAATAGTGCTGCACTGATCACAAATTCTTAAAAGTGGAGATAACTGAAGAAATGTAGGTCAGGTGTAGTGTTAGATTTCATCTACAGTGATTTCTACATCTAGTGAAATATGATTGTCTCTTTTTAAATTATTGAATTAAGTGTTAAAATGCATTAAAAGATTTAAAGTTTAAATATTCTTTTATTCTTGGGATTCATAACTTGGTCAAGATATTTAATTTGTTTATAGCACACTGATGGACACAGTCTACTATTTTTCTCATCTATTTTACATCTAATTACTAATAGTGATTTTCCTATCTTGTTTCTTTATTATTTGTTCCCTAACTGGCTTTAGAATTAACACTATTCATAGCTGATAAAGTGAGTTGCCTAGCTTTCTGTATTTTGCTCCATTCTCTTGAATATTTTAAATAAGTCCAATAACCTTCTTTGAAGGTTTAGTAGGACTTCCCTGTGAAACAATCTGTATATAGTTGGGCAGAGATAGAATTTTTACAACTGTTTTAACTTCTTACTTGCAGTAAGTCTTTTCCATCGACATTTTTTTTTTATAATTTCAAGATTGTTTACATCTCTACTATAGCTGCAGTGGCATATTTATCTGTCATAACACTGTCTTGCTCTTAATTAACATTGTCTGTTTTTTTTCTCTGTTCAAAGAAACAGCTGCTTTTGGCAGGCTGGGTCCTCAGCAGTGGCAGCTGCCAGGTCAGCCTTGGTGAGTGGTGACTCAATTGCTCTGTCCATGCAGTGTCCATCCCAGCCACCACGGCCACTTTGTGCAGGGACTCATGAGCAAGCCTTGTGCGGCTGAGTGGCATCATCCATCAAGCCATCTCGCTCACCTGGTTACAGGGAGCCCCAGCCCCTTGGAGACCCTCTGGCAGGCATCCATATGCAACCTCTATCTTCACATGCTCTTCCCATGGAAAGTGGTCAGTGCACACTTCTCTCTTCCATCCGCCAATTTTCCAACTTTATTTTCCCCAAGTTCCAGACTGGCCAGGCAACCCATGAGTCACTGCCCTTGATTCATTCATTCATGCACTACTGGGGCATAATTTCTACCCTCTACCTCCTGTGGTCTTGTTTGGGTTTTGATTCCTAGTTCCTGGCTCGACAGCCCTTTCCAAAGCTGTTCTGGTGTCAGCTCCCAAGCCTACTGCTCTTGTAGATTCTCCTTTTTATATCTGAGTCATGGGCATTTATTTCCTGGAATTAAAAAAAAATTCACTGGTATTTTCAATGCAGCATTTCTAAGGACTTGGAGTAGGAGAAATTCTATATTAGCTTAGAGAGAATTGTTTCAAAACACCAGAAATGTAAACTTGAATGAAGGACAACATGCATGGAGAAAGGTGGACAAATCACAGGTGGGCAGTGGATTTTGCCCAAGTAAAAACTCGGATAAACAACACCTTCATCAAGCAACATCATTTTCACCCTCCAAGAAACACCGTTGAGTCATAAACCAGCCTCCCCCACCCTAGAGTAGCCACTGTCTTGATTTTTAACACTGTAGATGAGTTCTGTTGGTTCTGATTGAATGAAATTAGAAGTTGTTTTCATGTAGTTGGGCTCATCATCTTTGCTGGGCTCATCATCTTGCTGTGTGTGGTCATAGCCGATTCTCTCCCATGGCCGTCAAGTGCTCCACTTTATTTATTTATTTATTTTGAGACGGAGTTTCACTCTTGATGCCCAGGCTGGAGTGCAATGGCGCCATCTCGGCTCACTGCAACCTCCGCCTTCCCGGTTCAAGCAATTCTCCTACTTCCGCCTCCCGAGTAGCTGGGATTACAGGCATGCGCCACCACTCCCGGCTAGTTCTGTGTTTTTAGTAGAGACACAGTTTCTTCATGTTGGTCAGGATGGTCTTGAACTCCCGACCTCAGGTGATCCACCAGCCTCGGCCTCCCCAAGTGCTGGGATTACAGGCGTAAGTCACCGCATCCAGCCAAGGGTAAATCTCTTATTTTAGAAATTATTCAGCTAGTGAATGGGGAAGGAATGAGAGACTGAGACTATAATTCTTTTGCAACCCATAACGAATTAACAGATTTAGCCATTGAAAAGCAATGGCAATTAAAAGTAGAGTAGAAGTAAATAACCAGTACTAAGTTCTTCCTCCTGATGGAAGAATACAATGGAGTGCCATAAATGAAGTATTCAAGAAGAAAATCAAGTCAGTCTATAAGCAAATCTCTGTAGCCAACTACCAATTTGTAGAAAGTACAGATAAAACAGGTCCATATTAAACTATGCCTTGGGGTGGAGCCAGCAAAATGCAAACTATGGAAAACTCAGCCAGACAATAAAATTTCAAGGAGGAGCATAGAGAAAAAAAGAGAACAGGCCAGGTGCGGTGGCTCACGCCTGTAATCCCAGCACTTTGGGAGGCCGAGGCAGGCAGATCATGAGGTCAGGAGATTGAGACCATCCTGGCTAACATGGTGAAACCCTGTCTCTACTAAAAATACAAAAAAATTAGCCGGGCGTGGTGGCAGACGCCTGTAGTCCCAGCTACTCGGGAGGCTGAGGCAGGAGAATCGCATGAACCCGTGAGGCGGAGCTTGCAGTGAGCCGAGATCATGCCACTGCACTCCAGCCTGGGTGACAGAGTGAGACTCCGTCTTAAAAAAAAAAAGAAAAAAGAGAACAAAAATTATACATCCCAAGGTAAAACTAAACTACAATTTCAGAGGATGAAAATATAAAATAGAACAAAGAAGCAATCATCATAAAGGTCAGGCTGTGATTTTATGTGGGGAAGGGAAGCCTTTATCACTGAGCTGGGGCAAATGATGGTTTCTGGGCTGGCTGACAAACTTCTATATCTCTGGTGGTTAAAGAGTGTTTATCTTTTATTATTATTATTTATTATTATTATTAAAGGGCAACATTTTCAGACAGTTTTTCTTTTTGGGTACCTGTTTTATTTTATGGCAAAAAGCTAATGAAGAATAAAATAATTTATAGGTCATGATTACTGTTTTGCAGAAAGCCTACTCTCCACACCCCTCTCCAGACACTGAGCTCCCAAAACAAGTGGCAGCACCAGGACCCCCTGGCAGGGCCACCTCACTTCTGGGTGTGTTCATGTCACTGGAGGCAATGTCCCAGGTCTATTCCTTGATGCCTGGAAGAACCTGATAGGAGACAGTTGAGGGGAAGCCTTCTCTGTCACCTGCAGGTTCTTGGCTGTCACTGTAGAGGGAGCGGGTCCTCACTTCTCCCACAGGCCGGATCACAGCCAGAACCTCCTCCCTGCATGGGGAGTGAGGCTTGATCCTTTCCCTGAATACAGTGACAGAGATCTCTGTGTCATCACATGAAGGCTCCAACTCTTCAGGGCAGATGTTCCCTCACAGGGTCAGCCCCTGAATATTGGCGCCAGATGTCCCACCTCCATCCCTTCCCAGTCCTTTCTGTTCTGCTGTGAATCTGTCAGTCATTGGGAACTAGCAGGGAAAGGGAACAAGGAGGGGAGATTGCTTTGATGCTGGGTCAAGGCATTGAGACAGACCTCTCCTTCTCCCTGAACCTCACACTTTATCCGCTCCCAGACGCATGAAATAAAACACAGACCAGAAATGTCTATTTAAAGAGTAAACATTTACGGTATAAATTATGCACACATAATAGTAGACACAGAGTAATGCATAACGGTGTGACGGGGCGAGGGGACCTCAAGGTGACAAGAAAGCTGGTCCTGGGCTGGTCAGGAGGAGTCATCACCAAGATACTCACTCATAAAGTTCACCCATGATAATCTAATTACTGCACATGTAATATATTAAAATATATTAAAACATAAGAAAATAGGACAGGCATGGTGGCTAATATAATAAAATATATTACAATATAATAAAATAGGCCAGGCACGGTGGCTCATTCTTGTAATCCCAGCACTTTGGGATGCCAAGGCAGGCAGATCACCTGAGGTCAGGAGTTTGAAACTGGGCTGGTCAACTTGGCGAAACCCCGTCTCTACAAAAAATACAAAAATTAGCTGGGTGTGGTGGTGCCTGTCTGTAATCCCAGCTATTCGGGAGTCTGAGGTACGAGAAGTGCTTGAACCTGGGAGGCAGAGGTTGCAGTGAGCTGAGATCACACCAGTGAACTGCAGCCTGGGTGACAGAGTGAGACTCTGTCTCAAAAACAAAAACAAAAACAAAAACAAAAACAACAGAAATAATGATACCAATTAATATGGCACTGTTAAGGGCCCCACAACCCTGTATTGGACTGAACAAAGGGCGAACGTGGGAATAAAGAGAAAGACAAAAGAGTATATTTGGAACAAGGGGTCAGGGGGCTTCTTGCTTCTCGTGAACAAGGGCTCTGATCTTCCACAGCCCTTCGTATTTATTGGTATAGGAGATAGCAAGAAGAGGGGTGGAAGAAGGAGTCAGCTGCTGGGTCCAGAGTAGGCTTGTAAGACTGCATTCCTCAAACAATAGGCTCTAGATGACCCAGTAGATAACTCCAATGAGCACCATGGAGTGAATGCCCTCAGCAAACCTTCTGTTGGCAGGAGCAGTCGTGAGTTTGCCCACATCCTGCATTCATGATAAACAATTTGCTGTTTGATCATATAGCCTCCAATGGAATGTTGAGTTGGTCATGATCCCTTTGCTGGCTCTCTACGTGGCAGAGCAGCAAACACCTCATACCTACTAACACTTTGCAGCATCCAACAACAATAAATAAGTGATGTTATTTTCTCTGTTTCATAGGTCAGGAAACAGAGGGAAAGTGCTGGTGAGATCCAGGCAGGGAGTTGAATCCTGGCCGCCTGGCTGTAGAGTCTAGGTGCCCTCAGTGGAACCAGTGGACCCAGTAGCTGACATCAGAGGCTGAAATCCCAGCTGTGCTGCATCCCTGTGGTCTCCTGTCCCAACTGGGTGTTGATCCAGGACCTGCAGGCTCACAAGCTCTGGAGAAGAGGGAAACGGGTAAATGCTCCACTGGGTGCAGTGTTGTGTTTATTCCCTAAGGACTTTTCTCTCTTCAGTTGCCCCAAAATCAGATTCGCCCTTTCTCTGAGAGAAGATGAGGCCCCCACTTTTTTCTTCCTCCCTCCTTGCTTTTCCCAGCCCCTGTCAGTTCTCTCCCATCACTCCATCAACATCAGCCCCTGTCCTGTGCCCACCACTCACCGTGCAGGGAGTGAAAGGGCCCCAAGACAAAAGGACAAGACCCAAGAGGGAACCCAGTGCCCTCCTCTCAGGCCTGACCAGTCCTGTTACAGTGAGAGGCCTCCCCAAAGAGAGGCCCTGACCCTTGCTCTCAGTCCCCAGGCCCTTCTCTCCTGCAGAGGCACCTGCACACCAGGGCAGGCCCTGCCCACTGTGGGCCCTGCCCTCTATCTGCAGCTCAGCACTCCTCCCCTCCCAGCCCTGAGCAGGCAGCTCCTAACTGGGGACCCCATCAGGAAGCCTGGGGGGCCCAGCAGGCCCAGCATGGAAAGACGTGGCTGCCACAGGATCTGCACCTGACCTGACCCTGGGACCCCCCACCTTGCTCGAGGAGGCCTGGCCTCCCATGACCTTCAGCACCCACCTAGGCCTGTGACCTGCTGTTGAGTCACTACTGCTCCTGCCTGGTCCACTTACTCCTGGTCCACTTACTTCACCCCAGGGCTGCTGCTTGGTGAGGCTGTGAGGCCTTCCTGCTCTGTCCCTAGCAGGGATTCCACCCAGGCCACTGCCCTTGCAACCTACAAGGACTTTTCTCCACGTGGAGTAGGGGAGACCCCTTAGCCTGAGGCTGCCTCTGCCCACCCTCTGCACCTGGGAACTGCCGCTGCCACAGCCACCATCTCCACACAGACCCTTCTGGAGAGGGGGCTCCAAATTTGAGTTCCTGTTTTATTTAATATGCTTTACAACAGCAGTATTAGAGGAAATCCTATTAAGATTATAGAGCTGAAATTACGAACATCTTTATTGGACATCAACATTGAAAGCAGGAATTTTGAGAAACTGGCACATGAATTTCATACCCTTTTCCTGGCCAAAACCCCAGTGACCTACGAGGAAACCATTCCTGCCCACAGGGAACCAGAAGTGACAATCCCTCCACGGGAGACGCCGCAGGTGAGAGCAGGAGTGACCACAGACCTGCACTGCCCCTGCTGTGGGTGCCTCCTGGATGGGGCCCTCTTGCTGCAGGGCAGGGGACGAACCTTCCCATCTGCTCAGGCATGAGGGGCCGACTGACAGTGCAACTAGGTTCAAGGATGAGAAACCAGCGCCCCTACCGCCAGACTCAGGTCTCCTGGACACCCCAGCCTCTCACTGTCCCCTGCACTGCCTCTGTTTTTGCAGAAACACAAAACTTCTGCTGTCTCTTTTCATCTCCCATCAAACAACCTGACTGTGGGGGAAATGCTTCTGACTGTCCCTTACTCCAAACTTACCAGGCAGTGACCACCTTGAGAAAGGGAAATTGGCTCAGGGAGGGCAAGGTAAGGCCACAGAGCACAGAACAAAGCCTCAAAGAGATGGCGCCTGGGGACTGTGTCCCTCAGGGACTGCAGAAGAAAACACGCTGGAGGTAGGATGAAAACAGGGACCACATCTGCCCTGATGAGGGGCTGGGCCCCGCTCCTCAAATGGCCCAGGGACATCTGCTTATCTATTCATCTGTGTCATCTGCAAGGAAACTCAGGGAGGCCAGGTAGTGGGAACCTGGAAAGTGCCTCCTGGAGGAGGCACACGGGTGGGCATCGCCTCTCCTTGGATTCCTCTCCAGTTTCTGGCCCTCCCCAGATCACAGCCACCTTTACTATTTCCTCCCTCTGACACCATGATCATCCAGGCCCTCAGCAATCAGCACGTGATTCCCAACTCACCCCACCTGGACGCACCCTAGTGAGCCCGAGAGACAGAGAGGCTGGGATGGGGACAGAGCAGGTGCCACAGCCCTCCCTGCTGCCCACTCCTCACTTGCAGCAGGAGGAGGCCACAGCTGGATATTCGAAGGCCTTGCCCCAGCCCTGGCTTGGGAAGCACTTATGGGTGTAGATGGAGATGCAGCTCCCATTCCCCTCCCAAATACCCCAGCTTCCATCCCCTGTCCCAGCAGCCTTGTCACCTACGTCTTGTCTGGGCAGGAGCAATGAGGAGACCCTACTGCCTAGAAAGGAGCTTTCCCATCTCCAGAAACTGTCCCCTTTTCTCACCTGGACCCTCTGCCGCTGATGTTTTCTTCTTGCAACAAGGGACACAGAGAATAATAATAATAACAAAACATGGCATAGCAGCAGAAACATATGGAAAGTCTGTCCGTTGACTCTGAAGCACCAGCGCCTTCCCTGAAAAAAAGGGACTTGTTATACACTGGGCAGAGAGCCACAGCCGTCCTTGCTGTTCCTACCCTGGCCTGACCCTCTCCAGGGTCACCCCAGGCTCACCAGAGGGCACAGGGTGAGTGCCGTGATTCCCGCTGTGTTCCATGTAGCAGGTGAACCTCTGCTCCTCTCCTTGGCGAATCCTGGTGGCCACCCAGGTCTGGTAGGTTCCATTCCCATCAGGCAGGACATCCCCCCACTGCTGGGTGTTGTGGCTCAAAGATACCCCATCCTGACGCCAGGTCAGTGTGATATTCCGGGGATAGAAGCTGGAAGCCCTGCATGTCACGGTGATGTTGCCCTCTGAGACCTCGCTGCAGGTGACATTCACCATGGGGGGCACTGGAGAAGAAAGGGCAGAGCCAGTGAAGCCCTGCTCCCCTCTAAGGGAGATGCAGGGAACAGGGCTGCTCCTCTCCACTGTTCTCACTCTGGCTGAATCCCTCACAGATACCGGACCTTCTGTAAGTCTGTCCTCACCCTGGGGCCTAATTCCTCCAGGCTAGCAGGAGGATGGGCCTTGGGACTGTGGCCTCAGGCTCTGGGATCCCCACATTGATGCTGAGGAGGGGGATGTCAAGGGTGGACTCCTGGGTCATGGGGCCAGGAGGGAACTCTCCGGGATGGGCAGGCCGGGAGGCAGAGGGGGCAGCCCTGGCCCTGAGGGCTTCCTCTCCTGCCTAACTCCCACACCAGGCTCAGGCTTCTGTCAGAGGGCCCACTGCTTTCCCAGATTACAACACTGGACAGTTCAGTCCCAGACCCACTGTCTTTATCCAATGGCTCTAACAGGAGAGGCAAATCAGGACACAATATGCCAACAGGAAACGCCTGCATCCATAGCACAGGGAGGGTTTCCCCGGACAGAGCTGGGAGGCGAGGCAACTCTAGCAGAATTGCGGGAACAGTAGAGCCCCTGGCCAGGGTCGGTACCTGTTCTCCTGATGGCCACCCCGGATTTCAGATATCGCTGTAGTTTCTGCAGGCAGTCTGCCTGCATAGCGCGATAGTGTGTCTTGGTCTTCATGGCATCTTCCTTCCAGAAATTTGTGACGTTCATAGCCAAGGTCTGAGCTCTGGAGGACTGGGGCACTGTCGATTCTTGAGTCTCCAGGTTTTGGGAGAGGAAGAGCTCCCCATCGTAGTAGAAATGCCGGGAGCCCCTGGTGCTGCTGTCTTCATGGATCTCACAGACCCTAATCTCCTGGAGGGAATGCAAGCCTGCCCCCACCCAGCAGTGACTTCTCCATTCCCGAACCCATCACCTTTCCACCCAAGTGAGGAACTCAGCCCAGCAGCGACCCCTCCCTGGCCCTCCTCCATGCCTCCCTGTGTGGGCTGAGTTCCGGCTCACCACCCTGCTGAGCCTCCCTGACCCTATTCCTCATCCCCACCCCCAGCCAGATCCAGCGGGAAGAGACAGGTCCCTGCTCTCTGTCTCCAACTTTCCTGGAGAAGGCCTCCCATTACTCTTGCCCCTGCCGACTCTCACCTCCTTTCTGGTCCTTGATATGAGTCAGGGTCCTCCTGAGGTCTTGCCCATTCTCTGTCAAGTCCTCGGTCTCTGTGTCCCAGGTCTTAGCTCCCAGGACATTTTCTGCCCACTGTCCCTGGGGCTTTGCCCTGCGTTTCTGCCTGTCATAGCGCAGGAAGGGCTGACCATCCAGATGTCCCTCAGCGAGAAACCCTGACTGCACAGATCCATCCTGGGACAGCACCATGAGGTTGTAACGAAGACTGTGGGGCTCTGGGGAAGAGGAAATCACAGGTGAAACTTCTTCCTGGAAATAACTTCACATTGATGTTTAACACACAGGTCTGCTGTCCCGACCTCCCTGAGGAGGCAGGAAATGCGCATGGGCAAAAGGACAAGAACGAAGATTTCATATACAAGGAAAACTGTGAGGGTGGGAGGATAGAGGAGGGGGCTGATGAACAGAAGAAGGGGGAATGAAGATGGCAAACTTGTAGGTCAGGTGCCAGGACTGGGTGGCCACAAGCCCCCTAAGGGAATAGGGGCCAAGGGGAGAGGCTGCCCTGCAGGGGCAAGGGAGGAGCATGAAGGCAGTGTTGGAAGGAAGGTCTTGCCAGAGGGGACAGTGGGAATGGGAAGGGACTCAGGCTCAGAGGGACCCATGTCCAGTGTGGCTGTGGTGCACAGGTGAGGGTGAGATGGAGGCAAGGCGAGCTGCCTTGAGAAAAGACTCATCATGGGCATGGTGGGGACAAGGGAGGGGGTGGTCATGAGGCACAAGGGGTAGGAAGGTTGTAGCCCCAGTGAAGTTTATAGTGGGGTCAGTATCCCAGAGGGGAGCAATGATGTGGGCTTGGGTCCAAAGTGGAAGAGTAGCATGACAAGGCCCCAGGACAGCAATTGGATGGACCAGCTAGTGTCCACTGGGGTGGGCAGGTGACAGGGTCTCAAAGAGTAAGTCCATCTTTTCAGCAAATAGTGCTGGGGGAACTGGATGTTCAAATAATATAAAATTGGACCCTTAATTTGTACTATATACAAAAATTAACTCAAAATGAATCAAAGACCTAAACTCTAAACTCAAGAACTAAAACATAAAAATATCTTAGAAAAAAACATTGGGTATAATGTTCATGACATAGGGTTTGACAGTGCTTTCATGGATATGACGCCAAAGCACAGATAGAATAGAAAGAACTGACAAACTGGACTCATGAAAAATTCAAAATATCTGTGCATCAAAGGGCACAATCAGAGTGAGAAAGCAATCAACCCCTGAAATGAAATAAATATTGCAAGTCATATATCTGATAAGAGATTAGTTTCCAGAAGGCCAGGCGTGGTGGCTCAAGCCTGTAGTTCCAGCACTTTGGGAGGCCGAGGCGGGTGTATCACCAGGTCAGGAGATTGAGACCATCCTGGCTAACATGGTGAAACCCTATCTCTACTAAAAATACAAAAAATTAGCCGGGTGTGGTGGCGGGCGCCTGTAGTCCCAGCTACTCGGGAGGCTGAGGCGGGAGAATGGCATGAAGCTAGCGGGCGGAGCTTGCAGTGAGCTGAGATCGTGCCACTGCACTCCAGCCTGGGCAACAGAGCAAGACTCCATCTCAAAAAAAAAAAAAAAAAAAAAAAAGAAAAAGAGAGAGATTAGTTTCCAGAATATGCAAAAAAGTTTGACAAAAACAACAAAACAGTCAACCCACTCAAAAATGGGCAAAATAGCCATGAGAAGCTATGTGGGGGAGAAAAATGGGCAAGACTTCAATGGCCAATTCTTCAAAGAAAATATACAAATGATCAATAAACACATGAAAAGATGCTCAATATCAGTACTCATTAGGAAAATGCAAATCCAAACCACAATGAGATACCACTTCAAACCAATCAGGGTGGCTATTATCACACACACACACACACACACACACACACACACACACAGCAAGTTTGGCAAGGAGGTAGAGAAACTGAAGCCCCTGTATACTGCTTCTAGAAATACAAAATGGCACGCCTGCAATGGAAAACACTATGGTGATTCCTCTAAAAATTAAAAAATGAAATACCGTATGATCCAACAATTCTATTTCTGGATATATACCCAAAAGAAATACTCAAAAGAAATAAATATATACCCAAGAGAAATGAAATATTTGCCAATATCCAAAAGGTAGAAGTAACCCAAGTGTCCATTGTCTGAGGAATGGATAACCAAGATGTGGTACATACATATAATGAGTATTATTCATCATTAAAAGGAATGAAAATCTGACCCATACTACAACCTGGATGAACCTCGAAATATTATAAGTGAAATAAGCCAGAATCAAAAAGACAAACATTACACGATTCTACTTAAATGAGGTACCTAGAGTGGTCAAATTCATAGAAACAAAAAGTAGAATGATGGTTACCAGGGGCCAGAGGTAGGGAGGAATGGGGAGTTACTGATTAATGGGTACAGAGTTTTGGGTTGCACAAAAATGTGAATGTATCTAATGCCACCGAGTATACACTTAAAAGCGGTTAAAACAGTAAAATGTATGTAATGTATAATTTACCACAATTAAACGTTTAAAGAACAAGAAATATCAGTCCTATTCAAATTGTTCTGAAAAACAGAGGAGGAGGGAATACTTCCAAACTCATTTTACAAAGCCAGGAATATCCTGATATCAAAATCAGGCAAAGACACATCAAAAAAAGAAAACTACAGGCCTATATCCCTGATGAACATTGAGGCAAATATCATCAATGAAATACTAGCAAACCACATTCAACAGTATATTAAAAAGATCATTCTTCATGACCAAGTGGAATGTATTCCAGGTATGCATACACAAATCAATCAATGTAATACATCGTATCAACAGAATAAAGGACAAAAGCCATATCACCATTTCAATTGATACTGAAAAAGCATTTGATAAGTTTAACATCCCTTCATGATAAAAACTCTAAAAAAACTGAGTATACAAGGAACAGACCTCAATATAACAAAAGCCATATATGACAACTCACAGCTAGTAACATACTGAATGGGGGAAAACTGAAAGCCTTTTCTTTAAGATCTGGAACAAGACAAGGATGACTACTTTCACTACAGTTATGCAACACAATACTGCAAGTCCTAGCTAGAGCAATCTGACAGGAGAAGGAAATAAAGGGCATCAAAATTGGAAAAGAAGAAGTCAAATTATCCTTGTTTGCACATCATGTGGTCTGATATTTGGAAAACCTAAAGACTCCACCAAAAAACTATTAGAACTGAAGAACAAATTCAGTAAAGTTGCAGGATACAAAATCAACATGCAAAAAACAATAGCACTTCTATGTGCTAACAGCAAATAATCTGAAAAAGAAATCAAGAAACGAATCCCATTTTCATTAGCTACAAATAAAATAAAATACCTAGGAATAGACTTAACTGAAGAAGTGAAAGATCTCTCCAATAAAAACTATAAAGCACTGATGCAAAACATTGAAGAGGACACAAAAAATGGAAAAGGCATTCCATGTTCACGGACTGGAAGAATCAATGTTTATTTTTATTTTCTGAGATGGAGTTTTGCTCCTGTTGCCCAGGCTGGAGTGCAATGGTGCAATCTCAGCTCACCACAACCTCTGCCTCCTGGGTTCAAGCGATTCTCCTGCCTCAGCTTTCCTGAGTAGCTGGGATTACAGGCATATGCCACCACGCCTGGCTAATTTTGTATTTTTAGTAGAGGCGGGGTTTCCCCATGTTGATCAGGCTGGTCTTGAACTCCTGATCTCAAGTGATCCACCTGACTCGGCCTCCCAAAGTGCTGGGATTACAGGAGTGAGCCACCGTGCCCAGCCGGAAGAATCAATTTTGTTAAAATATCCATCCTACCCAAAGCAATCTACAAATTCAATGCAATTGCTATCAAAACACCAATGACATTCTTCACAGAAATAGAAAAACAATCCTAAAATGTATATGGAATCACAAAAAACCCAGAATAGATAAAGCTACCCTGAGCAAAAAGAACAAAACTAGCGGAATCACATTATCTGACTTCAAATTATACTACAGAGCTAGAGTAATCAAAACAGCACGGTAGTGGCATAAAAACAGACACACGGACCAATGAAACAGAATAGAGAACCCAGAAACAAATCCATATATCTACAGTGAAGTTATTTCTAACAAAGTTACCAAGAACACATACAGGGCAAAGGAGAGTCTCTTCAATAAATGGTGCTGGGGAAACTAGATATCCTTATGCAGAAGAATGAAACTGGACCCTATCTCTCACCACATATAAAAATCCAATCAAAAAGGATTAAAGATGTAAATCTATGACCTCAAACTATGAAAACTATGAAAGAAAACATTGGGGAAACTCTCTAAGATATTGGACTGGCAAAGATTTTTTAAGTAATACCCCACAAGCAGAGGCAACCAAAGTAAAAATGCATAAATGGGATCATATCAAGTTAAAAAGCTTCTGCACAGCAAAGGAAACAATAAACAAAGTGAAGAGACCATCCAAGAATGGGAGAAAATATTTTCAAACTATTCATCTGACAAAGGATTAGTAACCAAAACATATAAGGATCTCAAACAACTCTATAGGAAAAATATCTAATAATCCAACTTAAAAATGAGCAAAAGATCTGAATAGTCATTTCTCAAAAGAAGACATACAAATGGCAAACAGGTATATCAAAAGGTGCTCAACATCATTCGTCATCAGATGAAGGCAAATCAAAACTCCTACGAGATATCATCCCACCCCAGATAAACTGGCTTTTATCCAGAAGACAGGCAATAAGGAATCCTGGCGAGGATGTAGCAAAAGAGAACCCTTGTACACTGTTGGTGGGAACGTAAACTAGTATAACCACTGTGGGAAATAATGTGGAGGTTCTTCCAAAAACTAAAAATATAATAGAGCTGTCATATGCTCCAGCACTCCCACTGTTAGGCATATACCCAAAAGAAAGGAAATCGGTATATTAAAGAGCTATCTACTTTTCCATGTTTATTGCAGCACTATTCAAAATAGCCAAGATCTGCAAGCGACCTAAGTGTCCATCAACAGACGAATGGAGAAAGAAAATGTGGTGCACACGTGTATGTGGAGTACTATTCAGCCATCATGTCATTTGCAAAGAACTGGAGGTCATCATGTGAAGTGAAATAAGCCCCAGGCCCAGAGAGACAAACTTCGCATGTTCTCACTTATTTGTGGCAGCCAAAAATTAAAACAATGGACCTCATGGGGAGAGACAATAGAATGACGACTACCAGAGGCTGAGAAGGGTAGTGGGGAGTGGGGGAGTGCGGATGGTTAATGGGTACAAAAATATAGTTAGAATGAATAAGATCTAGTAGATAGCACAGCAGGGTGAGTACAGCCAACAATAATTTATTGTACATTTAAAAATAACTGAAAGAGCATAATGGGATTGTTTGTAGCACAAAGAAAGGATAAATGCTTGTTGTGATAGATAACCCATTTACCCTGATGTGATTATGACATATTGTAGGCCTGTGTCAAAATATCCCATGTACCCCATAAATATATACATACATATCTACTACGTACCCAAACAAAAGTTAAAAATTAAAAACAAAGCAAGGGGTGGGGGTGCTGGCCAGAGAGAGAAAACCAAGGTAGAGGGGGAGATTCTCAGCCTGAGGAAGGACCTGCCAAAAGGAGTAATGCTGGAGGGGGAGCAGTGGCACCCCAAGAGCAGGCAAAACAGATTTTAGATATGCGGTGTGGGGAGTGAGAGCCCACTGGGGTCAAGGAACCAAAAGAAAAGAAGGAAGGTCAAGGAACAGCTGGCCCAACAGCCTGTTTTAGGTCTGGGTTGGGGAGGGGAGATGGGCAGAGCAAGAACTGGAGGGCGGCATGAGCATGGGGCAGGAGTGACTGTGGGAGAACTTGGGGTAGGGTGAGGACAGGAGGGGAGGGTGCTCTGGGGGAGGGTGGGGCTTGGGAAAGATTCTCAGCACTGTCATATGCTCCAGCACTCCCACTTTCCCACTGAAAGATGAGAACTTGCTGAGGGCCCCAGGCAGCTGGGCAAGAGATAGGAGCAGCACAAGGTCCCAAGGTGGAGAGGGGCGGAGGGACCAGGGAGGGATGGTCCAGCACCTGTGGGCTGGAGGGTGGGGTCCTCAAGAGGGTGAGGCTGAGGATGAAGGAGTGGGGAAGGGGCCACAATGAGGCAGGGCCCAGAGCAGGCACCTGCACTGGAGGGGAGGGGGCATCTGCGCTGCCCTGCGCCCTGCCTAAGGCCCAACTGCCATTAGCATCAGGGCTCTCCTTGGGGGTCTGGAGGGGAGTGGGATGGAGGGAAGACCCCCCCGGACAAAAGGCAGCACCAGAAAGTTAGAGTCAGGGACATTTGGGAATGGGGAGGCATAGGGGCAGCACGGAGTGAAGGCTGCTTGCAGGAAAGGCCCATAAAGGAGGCAGGAGGGACCTTCAGTGGCGGGGGCGGGGGATGAAGGCAGAGGACACCCTAGAAATGGATCAGAGAACAGCACACAGGAAGGGGTAGCAGGGAGCTGGGAGAGCAACAGGACCCAGGGCGCCGTAAGATGGGCAGGGAGGAGGTGAGAGGGAATCTGGTGTCCTTAGATCATTGGTCATTAGTAGGGGTGGGATGCGAGAGAGGAGAGGACCCCCGGAGCCGGAGGCGAGGGGAGAATGAGCTGGGGATGACAGAAGTCGCAGGAAGAATCCTCTGCCCGGAGCCTGCAGACTCCAACCCCTCAGCTTGAGAGTCAGGACCCCCCACAGTCCCCACAGCAGCAAGAAGCACCACCTCCGGGTCCCAAGAAAGGAGGGCCCCAACTCCAGGAGCTGCGGCCCAGGAGCTGAGAACACATCGGCTCCGGGAGAGGACAGGACTTCAGGGACCTGAGATCCGCCCCCAGCACCGGGGGAAGTGGCTGCCTCAGCGGCCGCGCTGGAACGGCCTTCCAATGCCATTCACAGGAGCAGCCCGGGAACCCAGGGGCCTCAGAAGGACTGGTTTGTCCGAAAAGTGAGAGGAGACGGAGGAGAGGCGAGGAGAGCAAGTGCAGGAGAGACCAGAAAATGCGGGTGATGCGCGATCCCGAGGAGGACTGAAAGGAGACAGGAGGTCGGGCGCGGTGGCTCACGCCTGTAATCCCAGCACTTTGGGAGGCCGAGGCGGGCGGATCACGAGGTCAGGAGATCGAGACCATCCTGACTAACACGGTGAAACCCCATCTCTACTAAAAACACAAAAAATTAGCCGGGCGTGGTGGCGGGCGCCTGTAGTCCCAGCTACTAGGGAGGCTGAGGCAGGAGAATGGCGTGAACCCGGGAGGCGGCGCTTGCAGTGAGCCAAGATCGCGCCACTGCACTACAGCCTAGGCGACAGAGACTCCGTCTCAGAAAGAAAAAAAAAAAAAAAAAAGAGACGGGAGATGGGAAAGCAGGGCTGAGGTGTGGCGGGAACAGGCGGCGTCCAGCTCCCTGCACTCCAGACAGCACACCTGAGCCCCGCCCTGACCGCACAGCGCTCGCGGCAACCCACCCGGACCCCCGGAAACGCCCCGCCGCTCCCGCTCCGCCGGGGACCGCCAGGAACCCCACTCACCAGCGGCGGCTGCCGGGGGTGCAAAAGGGAAGGCGACGGCCAGAAACAGCAGGACCCGGCCCAGCCCCATGGCCCCTACGTCGCCACCTTCTCAGCTGCTCAGCAGTGGCCAACTGAATGAAACCCGTGAGAAGACCCCGTCGAAATTTAGTCACCTGCGCCCCGCTCAGCGACCGCTTATCCAGTGAAAACTGAGGCCCGGAACTTAGGGCCAATCATGAGTGGAGAGGGCGGGGCCACGTTCAGAAGAGAAAATTCTAGCGGCCTGGAGACCTGGGGAAATTTAGAAGGCGGGACCTGGCGGCCAGAAAAGGGGGAGCGTGCGCGAGCGCAGCCAAAATCAAGGACCAGCCCCGAGTAGCTGAGAGTACAGCTCCAAACTTATGAGCACGACCTGGACCCTGTCGCCCTCCCTGCATCGCGACCACCCCATCCCCGCATTCCCACCCCCAAGGAGCGCGGGCTTCACCAAGCCCCTTTCGCCGGTCCTCCCATCAGGCCGGCTCTCACTGGCTTGTTCCTTCCGGGACAGACAACGCGTGGTTTTTCTCCCAATACACTCCCTCAACCGCGCACAGCGTTACTGCAATGAGACCAGTGACCAGATTTGCAGACCTGTTTCCAGATCTCAGCCGCCTCTGCCTTTCAGAAGCACTTGCCCCAGTAGAAACGCTCAGATCACAAATTCTCTTAGACGTTTCAGCTATATAATCTCCTTCTCCTCCCTTCGACTCAAAGCCAGGTCCCCCCTTTCACCCCCTTATATCCTCTAAGTGTCTGAGGTCTCCCAGGGCCCCCTCTCTATTCAGTTCCTGGGTAATCACAGGGCCAACGAGGCGGCTCCCCATGGTTCATTACAACACCAAGCTCTCTCCAGACTCCCTTTTCCAGCCTGTTTTAGGACATCTGTACCTCTGGGACCATAGTCCCCTTCAATATGACAGATCTACAAGGACTCTCTACACGTCTCCCACCACATCATCCTCTCTTCCTCCTCAGTTTCTCTTAAGAACTTCACCATCCTTGGTCCCTTCTGATTTCCTCTTTCTCCTTCATCTCCGGGAGTCAAAGTCAGCTCCTTCAACGCTATTTCAATCCCACAGCCATAGTCTTAGTCTAGGCTTTCCCCTCCCTTCAGTCTGGATTACTGCACAGGCTTCCTAAACACTGTGCCTGCCTCAGTTACAACCAGAGTGCTCCAAGCCACCCACAGCGCCCCATCTGCTGAATGTCACACATGGTGGATGCTTCTACTCTACCATGGAAACCATAGCTCCCACAATCTATTGTCTGGCACCACCCCCATTTCTCTGGTGACATTTCCCCAGGGTTGCAGTAAACGTGGGCTCTGGGATCTCCTCACCCTATCCCACCAGGATGCCACTGCCTAAGCAGTCTCCCTCTTCCAGGTTACTGTCACCTCTGCCTTGGAACCCATCAGACCACAGCATATCCTCAAAATCTTCCCAGTTAGGCTGGTCTGAGTGCAGTGGTGTTTACAACTAATTGATCACAACCAGTTATAGATGTTTTTGTTTCATCTTCACTCCCACTGTTTCACTTGACTAGCCTTTAAAAAAAAAAAAAAAGGAAAAAGGGTCCGGGCACGGTGGCTCACGCCTGTAATCCCAGCACTTTGGGAGGTCGAGGTGGGCAGATCACGAGGTCAGGAGATCGAGAGCATCCTGCTAACACAGTGAAACCCCGTCTCTACTAAAAATACAAAAAACTTAGCTGGGCGTGGTGGCGGGTACCTGTAGTCCCAGCTGCTCAGAAGGCTGAGGCAGGAGAATGGGGTCAACCCGGGAGGCGGAGCTTGCAGTGAGCTGAGATTGCGCCACTGCACTCCAGCCTGGGCAACAGAGCAAGGCTCCGCCTCAAAAAAAAAAAAAAAAAAGAAAAAAAGGAAGAAAATCTTCCCAAGTAGATAGTGGTGACGGTGGCACAACCTTGTGATTATGCTAGAAGCCACTGATCTGTACACTTTAAAACGATAAATTATGTGTGGCATGTGAATTCTCAATTCTCAATAATAAGAATTCTGTCTGGAAAGCCTCTACTAAGAGAATTGGCTTGTCCCCAGCGCACATTCTTAGTCATTGGGACATCTAGGCAGTGGTCTTCAAACCTAGCCACTGCGTAGAACCACCTGGAGAGTTTTTAATATCCATGTTCCCAGGCCACAGCCACAACCAGTTAAATCAGTAAACCTAGGTTGGACCTAAACCTTAGTATCTTTTAAAGTTCCCTACGTGATTCCGATGTGTAGTCAAGTTTTAGAACTACTGATCTAGCCCATGGTTTGAACCTTCCTGATGGTACCGACTGTGCCCTGTCTTGAATCTTATTTTTTTCATTTACTTTATTTTATTTTTTTAAGAGAGGAGTCTTGCTGTGTCACTCAGTTGGAATGCAGTGGTGTGATTATAGCTCACTGCAGCCTCAAATGCCTGGGCTCAAGCAATCCTCCCACCACAGCCTCTTGAGTAGCTGGGACTACAGGCGAGTGCCACACACCCAGCCATCACCTACCATCTTCTACCCTCCTCCCCCATTAGACTATGAACCCTCCAGGATCAGGAACTGTGTCCATTTCTTTTTTGTTGGCCTCACAACCTTTTTTTTTAAGTTCAACTATCCCTGTCATTACTAACTATTCCCCTATCATCCCTAGCCTACACTTTTCTGTGGATGAAAATGTAATGTATTCGAGAATTTTAACAATTTCTTAGTCTTCCCATACACATTCACTGATAATTTATTTTGATCCTCATAATTTATTAAGCACAGCAGGGACTGGGGTCCTGTCCCCACCTTAGAGAGATTATTTTCACTGCTAAAGATCATAAGCATAGTTTGAGACAGAGAGGCAGATGGACCCAGCTCTCCTGACACAGGTCCCAAGCCCTTCCCTCCACGGTGTCTACCCTCCCTCCAGGACTTCCTCCGTGTGCCAGCTCCAGCAAAGGGTCTCATTCAGCTCGCCTCCAAAAAAGACTTTTAATAGTTCAATAATAATAATGAATATTTAAGGTTTGTTCTAAGGCATTTAGAAGCGGTTTCAGGGAGACATGAAGCCAGTCCTCCCCTGGGCTAGGGGAGGCCAAGAAGGTCTTGAGCTCCAGGGGAGTTGCTTCTCAGCGCCGAGGCCTGGGTCCCCTCCCCCACCAAGCCTCCCAGGTCTTCTGTTCAAAGCCCTCCCCCTCCACCCCACCTCCAGCCCCCTCTGCTCTGCCCCATCAACTATGTTTTCTCCCTCAGCACTTGCCTTAGATCCCTGGACTCACGAGCACAGAGGCGACTTCCTCCTCGCAGACTTTAGGCGCCACTGCAGGGTCCGGAAAAGAAAGAGAAACGGCCCAGCGCGGTCGCTCACAAAATTCAGGGCGGGGCTGCCCTCGGCGCCCGAAAGCTTTTTGTTTTTTGTTTTTTTTTGAAACGGAGTTTCGCTCTTGTTGCCCAGGCTGGAGTGCAGTGGCGCGATCTCGGCTCACAGCAACCTCCGCCTCCCGGGTTCAAGTGAGTCTCCTGCCTCAGCCTCCCGACTAGCTGGGATTACAGGCATGCGCCACCCCCGGCTAATTTTGTATTTTTAGTAGAGGCGGGGTTTCTCTATGTTGGTCAGGCTGGTCTGGAAATCCCGACCTCAGGTGATCCGCCCGCCTCGGCCTCCCAAAGTGCTGGAATTACAGGCTTGAGCCACCGCGCACGGCTTTGCCCGCAAGCGTTTTGAATTTTGTGGCCCGGAATTCACTGCGAGGACTGGGATCACCCATCACCCTTCCCTGGTCTACGGAAAATGAAACGTGTTTACTGATACAGAAACGGAATAACGGCACTTTGGGCTGGGGAGGGCCGAGCTGCCTCAGGCTTCTGGTCTCCAGCTGCGCGGCACTCACACCTGCCGCTGTGAAAATGCAGACCCGCGGGGCAGGAATTCCGAGTCCAGGCTGGAGCGCGATCTGGAATCTGACTCGCTGGAAACAGCACCGCGGTGGATTCGGACCTGGGTGAGTAGGGAACTGCGCCTCAGCCCCTCCCGCAGGCCGCCCACAGATTCCGGGGTCCGAAAACACTTCACCCCTGGAAGGCAGCGCCCGCCTCTGGGCGGTTCTGATGGAAACGGGCTCCACCGCCCGCAGGAAAACCCACAACTAAGGGGCCAGGAAAAAGCCTCTCAGGGTCCCGCCGCTTCAGTGAGGATCCTAATTTACACCCCGAGTTTGGCCCCGTCAAAGACGGGAGGGACCACTGAAATGATACAAGACCAGCGCGGCCCAGGGCGCTGGGGCGCATAGAATGCTGTGACAGCGCCGCCTCGCGTCCCTTTTCTGACCTGCCCCAGGCGGACGCGGTGAAGTGTGTTGGCCTGGAGGCTGGAATACACCGGGGATCAAGTGCAGAGAGTGGTGAAAGGAGGGAAGGATAGGGGGACGTGTTAAGAAAGGAGGGAAGAGATAGGAAGAAAAGGGGAGAGAAAAAATAAAGGAGAGATAAAATTTAAAAGACGTAGTTTTATTATTTATTTTTGCCCTTTATCTAGTTTTACTTATGAACATTTTTACTATAGCTTTCTCTCTTTCTGAATCTGTAAATATACTGCTATTATTGTTATTTCAGAGCCTGTGAGGGTAAGTTGCAGACAGCATGACCCTCTACCTCCAGATGTGTCAGGGTGTGTCTCCTGGGCACAAGAACAGGGTTTTTGTTTTGTTTTGTTTCACATAAGCAAAGTACAAATCTCAAAGACGATAATATTTTTAAATCATCATATTGGGACATACTTTGCATGCAATAAACTGCATCTATTTAAAGTGTTCAACTTGTTGAATTTTAGCTGTTGTACACACCCACATCTCCACTACCACAGTGAAGATAAAGAACATTTCAATTGTCTCCCAAAGAAGAGTTATATTATAAAATTCTATACAGTCATTAAAAAGAGTAAGATTGCTTTTAAGTATTGCTATGAAAAGAAGTGCCCAGCATACTTTTAACCTTTTTTAAAAGGTTAAGGAGGCTGGGCCCAGTGGCTCACGCCTGTAATCCCAGAACTTTGGAAGGCCAAGGTGGGCAGATCACCTGAGGTCAGGAGTTGGAGATCAGCCTGGTCAATATGGTGAAACCCTGTCTCCACTGAAAATACAAAAATTAGCCAGGCATGGTGGCCGGCGCCTGTAGTCCCAGCTACTCGGGAGGCTGAGGCAGGAGGATTGCTTGAACCCGGGAGGTGGAGGTTGCAGTGAGCTGAGATCGTGCCACTGCACTCCAGCCTGGGTGAAAATGCCGCTAATATTACTTACATAATATTAATATATATTTTAAGTAGGGGAAAACCTGGAAGATTCCTCACCAAAGTTTTGACAGTGACTTCAGAGACTGGGATAACTTTGTGACTTTCATTTTCTCTGAAATGTTGGAATTTTATCTTTTAGTATAAACTTGGATTTGGGTGAGTTGCAGTGGTTCATGCCTATAATCTCAGCTCTTTGGGAATTGGAGGCAGGAGGATCGCTTGAGCCGGGGAGTTCCAGGCTGCAGTGAGCTATGATTGTGCCATTGCAATCCAGCCTGGGTGACAGGAGGAGAACCTGTCCCCAAAACAAAAATAAATAAAATTTTAAAACAATAAAAATTGTGAACTTGGATTTATGCGGACGTTAAGGAAGAGAATATTTCAATTTGAAAATACGAAGCTAAGCCCCACACCAAAATGGTTACAGAGTTTTAAAAACCAAAATGTTCTTTAAAACCCACCACCAGAAACTCTTTCAAGAGGATCCTTCATATTTTCATGTCATTGAATCTTTCTTAAAGTGCCTTTGAAAGAGATGTTTTCAGTGGAATAGAGAGATGTGTAACAATATTTACAAAAGGGGTTGGCTGTAATAAAAAGGAAAACGCAAATGAGTGGGGACACAGGGGACCCTGTTCCATTTATTCTCAAAGCACGTTTGAAAACTGCGTTGCCATAGCGTCCTTGGATGGAGACAAAGTCGAGGCAGATCTTGTTCCTGGAGTATTGATTTGATTTTGGAAACGGTCCAAGGCTTTCAGAAATCAGGCTGGCTTAGATCTAAAGTCTCAAGAATGTTCGTTCTAGCAGTGAGCCTGTGAGAAGAATCTAGCCCATCTGGGCGATGCTCTCTCTGCTTTCACCTAGTGGCAGTGGTTGGAAGGACAGGGCACAGTGTTACTGCATGGGTGGGGCTGAAGCCAAGGTGAAACCGCCTTTGCAAAATTATAAGTAAGGAAATGATGACAGTGAAAGATATCAAACCTAACTCACCCTATCTTGCTTCTAACCGCTAACCTGCCCTTGTTCATTTCTGGGCATAGGCCGAACTAGCCTTGGGAAGGAATTTATAGTTTAAAGGGAAAGTGTTCTTTTAAAACGAATGAAAGGCCGCCAGCCATTAAGTTAGGATGAGAGGGGCTGGAATTCTGAATATTACCAGCCATTATTCCGGAGGTCATAAGATTTGCAACTTCCCCAGTTACTCTTGAAGGTAACATCACTATTGTGAACCTCAGAGCGGCCTTTTGAGATGTATTTTGCATTTCTTTTTTCTTTTTCTTTCTTTCTTTTCTTGCTTTTTTTTTTTTTTTTTTTTTGACGGAGTCTCGCTCTGTCGCCCAGGCTGGAGTGCAGTGGCGCGATCTCGGTTCACTGCAAGCTCCGCCTCCCGGGTTCACGCCATTCTCCTTCCTCAGCCTACTGAGTAGCTGGGACTACAGGCTCCCGCCACCACACCCGGCTAATTTTTTGTATTTTTAGTAGAGACCGGGTTTCACCGTGTTAGCAAGGATGGTCTCGATCTCCTGACCTCGTGATCCGCCCGCCTCGGGCTCCCAAAGTGCTGGGATTACAGGCGTGAGCCACCACGCCAGGCCAGGTTTTTGCATTTCTAACAACTGGAGGACCCCATCTGGACCTGCCAACCAGTCCTGTGGCCCCCCACTCAGGAACTGACTCAGCCTAAGAGAACAGCCTCCACTCACTATGATTTCATACCGGAGCCAACCAATCAGCACTCCTGATTCACTGGCCCCCCCTATCCACCAAATTATCCTTAAAAACTGATCAGAGTTTTCGGGGAGACTGATTTGAGTAATAAAACTCTGGTCTCCCGCACGGCCGGCTCTGCATGAATTACTCTTTCTCTATTGTAATTCCCCTGCCTTGATAAATCGGCTTTGTCTAGGCAGTCAGCAAGGTGAACACACTGGGTGGTTACAAAGGGAGTCCAGGCCAGTGTGCAGGATGTGCTTTGCTGTAGTGGGGTCCGGGTAGCGGAGGAAAGTCAAGGACACTCAGGGAATAAATGGCAGAGGAAGAAGGAGCACGAGGGAGGACCCAAAGCCTCCAGACCTCTCCTTCCTTCTCTCCCTGTTAGGGTTGGAGAGGACCAGCGTGGTCCCAGGAGGGATGGCTGGTGGGGTGCAGAAAACGCCCTGGTTGCAAAGGGGCGTCACGCGCCCCACGCAAGGGTCCTGGCTGTCAGCTGCTACTCATGAGTTCAAATTAGGACGAGACTCACACGTGTCCTTTGCAAAGTAGACTCCTTATCTCCCGCTCCGGCTGGTTTCCCAAATCCATCCTGATAAAGCAGAAAAACCAAGAGCCAAATTCTGCGTGGGACCTTTCTGACAGCTGGAAGGTCCTCCCCCTCCCCATTCCTCACATGTGCCCTTCTTGCCCTGCCCCCTCCACTTTGTCTCCACTTCCTCATCCTTTTCCCTCTCCGGACCCCGCTCCTGAGTATCTCCCGCCTTCTTCAGAGGACTTCTCCTCATGAAGTACAGACTCCTCCACCTCCAGGAAAAAGAGACAAAGACCACTGAGAGGGACCTGAGAAATGCCTGTGACCCCACCCCTGAGGCCAGCCTCTCCCTCAGTGCTGGCTCTGGCTGTGTGTGTGTATGTATTTTGTTTTGTTTTGTTTGTTTGTTTTTGAGACAGGGTCTCACTCTGATGGTCAAGCTAGAGCAGTGTCCCGATCACAGCTCATTGCAGGCTCCAACTCCTGGATTCAGGCAATCCTCCCACCTCAGCTTCTCGAGTAGCTGGGACTACAGACTGGAGCCACCACACCCAGTATGTGTGTGTGTGTGTGTGTGTGTGTGTGTATTTTTTTCTTTTCTTTTCTTTTCTTTTTTTTTTTGGTAGAGACTGGGTCTTGCTTTGTTACCCATGCTGGTCTTGAACTTCTGGCTTCAAGCAATTCTCATGCCTCAGCCTCCCAAAGTGCTGAGATTACGGGCATAAACCACAACGCCTGGCCCCTGTGTGTGTATATACAAAGTCAAAGTGCTAAACCTGGCACCTAGGAAACATCCCCACCTTGGCATTGCTTGCAACAGTCGGTATTTTGTGCACCTGTGCTTTTGTTTCGGGAGCTGGGACAATTATATTCATCAGAACAGCACGGTGTTAAGGCCCTCACCCCCAGAAAGCTTAAGGGACACTGTTTTATGAAGGAGAGTGAGATTGGAGGAGCCCCTGACTCCAGGTCTCCTGATCCTTCTTACACAAAGCGATGCTGAAAAAAAGTGCAGGACACTCCATTTCCTCCTGGGACCAGACAGGGAAGCCAGAGCCACTGTGGATGTCAAATTCCAGCAAGGAAATACCAGTATAGCAAAATCTCCACATCACATTTTAAAGCTCACACAATGGCTCAAAGAGAACCAACGTCAAAAAACCGAATTCCTAGCTCAGGTGAGATCACCAAATTTGCCTGTGAGGTTTTGTGGAATCTGCAGGTAGAAAGGACATCTTTATTTAGAGCTGCAGCCCAATTGCTCCTGCATCTTGGGGCCCCTTGAAAGGACCCTCTCCCTTCAACAGTGCATAGTGAGGCCATTTCTGGGGAGAAACGTAGACTGTCCTTGGACTCCTGAGGTTTTTACACTTACTTGCTGACTCTGTGGACTTTGACTTCATCATTAAACATCTTACAACGATGTAATTTGCTTTGACTGTAAGTGTAGAACAGGACACTGTTCCTGAAGCAGGAAACAAGGGACTGGTGACCTGAACTGCCACCCCCCTCCCTGGTGCTCAGATGTAATGAAATCGTGAGGCAACAAATCTATGGCCAGGTAAAGGGTCAACTCCATTTCAGCAAATGTTTCAGATGTTCCTTCCCGCCTAGTAATGTTCCAGCTTTACCCCAGCCTTAATCTTTTAAAATGTATATTTTCCTTGGTGTTATTTTAAAGTAATTCGTATGTATTTATTACACTGGGTTTGTTGCAGTAAGCCACCTCGAATGTTGCTGTAGAATTAAAGTAAGCAAATAAATGTGTGGTTCTCCACGGAGTTACTAACTCTTAAAAAAAAAAGTCCAAATGTCCATTCCCAACTCAGCTTCAAGGAAAGTCTCCTCTAGACTCCACAGGGTAGAAATTCCTGTTGATGGCACCTTCAGAAGGTAAGAAAGGAACTCGTCCTCCACCATGCCTGACCCATCTTTGGGTTTTAGGCATTGGCCGACTGATAAAGGCAACTCTGAGAGTACAATCCATGTATAGATGACCGATAGTCATATAATAGGAATCTCACCACACCTGAGAGAGTGGGATAGATTCCCTCATTTTCATAGTTTGGGCATCTGAGTCCCTGAGAGCCTGAATGCTTGACATGGATTCTCCAAGAATGTTGGCCTTGAGACTCTAAAGGGCCCCGGGTCTCCTGTGAAGCCCCCTGTGCATGCACCACACCCGCAGAGGCTCCACAACGGCGGGAAGAGCACCCAGGGTCAGAGCCCAGGCTAGTTCACACTCGGGGACCATCCACATCCAGGACGTGCAGAGGAGGGGCCGAGGTGAGAGCCCAACCCCTGCCTAGGCTGTGGTGACTGGTGGCTGCACGGGGGTCCCAGCGCTCCTGGAGCTATCATTCTTTATCTCCTGAAGACCCCGGACCCGCACATACAAAAACTCTGCATTTCTGGTGGAGCGGTCTTCTCTTTTGAGATGTAAACACTACTTCTCGAATCTTAAAGCCAGCCATTGCCACTCCTAAGGGATAAGCCTCTAACTCCACTGAAATTAGCCTCAGAATTTCAGCTGAGCATTTGGAGCCACAGGCAGGAAGTCTGTGGGATTTGTACCTGGCTGATCTGGAAGGTGGTCCTGAAAGGTAGTGTGTGACTAGGTGGGCTCTATCCTGATGAGAGGAGAACGAGACAGATGGGAAGTTTCCGAAAGTGAATTTCAGTGGGCCCTGTGCCCAGCACTAGGATTTGGAAAATCTTTTCCCAGCCATTTTTGGCCTGTGGGTTTTCATTCTGCTTTCCTGTCTGCCAAGCCATTCCAGGCAATCCCTTCATTTGGTAAACATTTATCAAATACCTACTGTGCGTGGGGCATTGTTTTAAGAGGAGCTGGAACTGAGGTAAGAGCAAATAAACCCTCCTTGCCCTCAAGGCGTGCCCAGTCTTGCTCAGGCAGAGATCAGTAAGGAAATCATAACACAAATTGAGAGAGAAAAAAGGAAGAAACTGGTCAGGCGGGCAGTTATGGTGGGTCCTCAGTTGAATTATTTCAAACAAAAGAACGGCCTGCAGGCACAGAGAAGGGAACTTGCACAGGGGGGCTTGCCTAAGACATGCCCACAGCTGCACAAATAAGAAAGGCTGCACAGGAGACTTGCCCAGACATGCCCGCAATGGAAAATTCTGTCCCCCGATACGTGGGCAGTCAGGGAAACAAAGCAATATGGAGTAACTCAAGCTAAGGGCCTGCATGGGCACTAGGAGGATGGGGTGGAGCTACCGGAAATTCGTGCCTTATGCAAATGAGACACCCAGCCCTCATCAGTTTCTTGTAAAAGCCTTTGCATTCAGCTGTAAAAATGGCAACCATCTTCCAAGTCCCCTCTCTGCAGGGGAGAGCTTTCTTCTTTTGCTTATTAAACTTTTGCTCCAACCTCACCCTTTGTATCCACGCTCCTTAATTCTCTTGGTGGTGAGACAAAGAACTCCAGGTAACACCTCACAAGGAGAGACTGAGAGGCTGCTACGTTGTGGTGCATTGGCAAGACTAACAAACTGGCTAGTGGGACATGCACACTTGCTTGGTAGACATATATGTAGATCTTCAGCTCTGACTAATGAAGGAATACCAAAAATCTCATAAAAGAAAAAAATATTATTTGAGCTTTGTTTTGTGGTGTAAGTGGGAGCCCCACAGGCACCCAGGATAGGAGAGCTTTGCTCAGAATCCAGGAAGTGAACATCTTTCCCTGGGCCAGGCCAAGAATGAGACTAAGCTGATTGAGGAGCCTGGTGCCTCCTGGCAAGAAAGGGTGTCTGACACCTGACTATCCAGAAGTCACAGCTACTCAATATTGAGACTTGAAACAGAGAGAGAGAGAGAGAGAGAGAGAGAGAGATCTGATTTGAAAAGCAGAATTCTGCTGGGGGCTTGTTAAATGCAGAGTTTCTGATACAGTAGGTCCAGGCCAGGCCCTGAAGATTGCATATCTAAGTTCCCAGGTGATGCCAATGCTGCTTCCCCCAGGACCACACTTTGAGAACCACCACCCTAAGGCAATCTGTGTTGGTTTCTAATATCAGAAGAGGGCTGGGAGTGGGCTGGGAGGCAGAGGTGTGGGATCAGTGAGAACACACCTGACCTACCCTGGACAGCTCCCCACCCCAATCTTGCAGCATTTTATTTCCTGGGAGTCCTGGGAATGGAAGACACCCAGGAAGGGACCAAATGTGGGGTCACAGGGTGATCCAGAGGCTCGGCTTCATACAGCACCTGGGGCTCCCGCCACTCCACAACTGGCCCCCACACCCTCAGTCTTCCCACCCCTCACGACACTGACCTCCAGACCTTCCTCGACTAATCTCAGCAGGTTGGGCCTGGGATGTGACACTAGGAGCTCTGAGTGTACCTTCTGATCCAAAGATAGGGTGACCGCGTATGACAAGTACTCAGATGGGCCATTAATAGGACCTTGAACATTTGGCAAATGGCTTCAGTCACGTGTGCTTGAGAATTCCAGTGTTTTCTAGATATGGCATCCATGAGCCCACACAAACACTGGAGGGCGTCGTGAGCATACTGAAACCCATAACTGCTGCACTGGATCCCCTAGAATCCCTTTCCCACTTAGACCAAGATTTGAACAAAATTTCCTTCACCAAACAAATTGCATTTAATTAATCATGCTGTTATTTTACCTTGTAATGGAAAAAAGATAGATGTAAAGAAAGATCATGCGATTAAAAAGAAAACAACGTACTGAATTAAAATGGCAGTAAACCTCCTTGTTAAAGGAATAATATAATATTTAGAAAATTTTTAAAATTTATTTTAATAAAGGTAAAAAAATTCTATTAGTTTTTAAAAGGTTTTTCATTTTGAATTTTTTTGGGGTTTGTTTGGTTGCCCTAGGAATTATCTTTTATTTCTTGATATAGTTCAAAATTCAAAATTCAAAATATTCAAAAGGTAAAATGTCTCTTTCTTACCTTGTCTCATCCCCAACAGGCAACCAGGGATATCTTCTTGCTTATTCTTCCAAATATATTTTATGCATATGCAAGCAAATATAAATGTGTATATATATCTCTTTGTCCCTTTTCACACAAATTTTAGCAGACTCTATATGTTATTCTACACCTTGCTTTATTTCTTCTTAACAATGTATCATGGAGACCATCCCATGAGGGAATATCAAGAGTTTCCTATGTCTTTCTTCTTTTGTGTTAAATGTTTGTAGACTCAGCCGTGTAGATATGCAGTGCTTGTTTGGGTTTTCTTAGGAAGGTAGGGAGGCCTCCTCATGTTACCCAGAGTGGAGTAGAGTGTATTCACAGGTGAATGCTACTGTGCCCAGCTTGCAATGCTTTTTTAACTAGTCCGCTAGTGACAGACATTTGGATTATTTTTTCTTTTATCTTTCATTTTCTTTCTTCTTTCCTTTTTGATTTTACAAACAGGGTTGCATCATATAATTCTGAATACAGTCATTTTTCAGGAATGCAGGTCTATTTTTGGACACATTTCTAGAAGTGGGACTACTGGGTGTATGCATTTTTAATTTAGACAGAAATTGCCATACTGCCTTTCCTGAAAACATTTCCAGTTTGCAGGCCCATCTGCAATATATCAGAGTACCTGTTTTGGTACCATTAGTTTTTTGATTATAGAAATATGTAGAGATATACATTTGGGAGCCATCTGTGTCTAGACGATATTTAAAATCCTGGGAGTGGAGGACACTAGAGTGATTGGGAGGCAGTAAAACCCCACAGTGCTCCAGCATCTACAGCAAAAGGAGCCAATGAAGGGGGACTGAGGCTGAGCAGCTAGTTGGGGAGGAAGATAACTTGACCTGTAAAATGTCAAAGAAGATTTTAAAGGGGGGAGTTGATACAACCTCTTCAGAGAACAATTTGACATCCTATAACATCACATGGTAAAAGCACAGTAATCCCATTCCTACATCCGTATCTTGGGGAACTCACACAGGGGACCAGAGAGAGATGACCCAGGATGTTCATTGTGGCAGTGTCTGTAACAGAAACAAGCTAAAGGTCGCGGACAGGAGAAGAGATAAATTGTGGGATATTCGTCTCATAAATGCTATCCAGCACTGAAAACAAATGAACTGTTTCTATGGGTGTGTGGGTTCACCTCATAGACCATATTAAACGATAAAGCAAGCCACAGAATGATACATTCAACAAAAAACAATTTTTACAAAGTCTAAAATCATGTCAAACGAAAGGATTTAAAAAACTTTGTAGGCCGGGCGCGGTGGCTCACGCCAGCACATTGGGAGGCTGAGGCGGGCGGATCACAAGGTCAGGAGACCGAGACCACCCTGGCTAACACAGTGAAACCCCGTCTGTACTAAAAATACAAAAAAATTAGCCGGTCGTGGTGGTGGGCTCCTGTAGTCCCAGCTACTTGGGAGGCTGAGGCAGGAGAATGGCGTGAACCCGGGAGGCGGAGCTTGCAGTGAGCCGAGATCCCGCCACTGCACTCCAGCCTGGACGACAGAGCGAGACTCCGTCTCAAAACAAACAACCAAAAAAAAAAAACACTTTGTAGCAATATAAAGGCATTCACCAAATTCAAGACATCCGCCACTCCCCACTGGCAGTCCAGTACTCAGTACAGTAGTACTGTACAGTACATAGAGTACTGTACTGTATGTGTTTCAGCGGAAACACATACATAACAGAACTGTGGAGAATCAGGGCTATCTGCATATATTTCTATTATTTTCTATGTATACTACATATAGCCAATAATATTAAAATGTTACAAATTGACAAACCTGGGTAGGGGCTTCACAAAGATTTCTTTTAATTCTCTATTCTTCCAGCTAGAACTACCTCATAATAACTAGCAGCAACATGGATGGAACTGGAGGTCAGTATGTTAAGTGAAATAGACCAGGCAAAGAAAGACAAATATCACATGTTCTCACTCACATGTGAGAACTGAAAAAAAGTTGATCTTATGGAGGTGGAGAGTAGAATAATAGTTACCAGAAGCTGGGAAGGGTGTGTGGGGGATCTGGGAGATAAAATGAGGTAGCTTAATGGGTACAAAGATACAGTTAAATAGGAGGAATAAATTCTAATATTCGATAGCACAGCAGGCTGGCTGTAGTTAACAACAATGTATTGTGTATTTCACAATAGCTATAAGAGTGGATTTGAAATTCACCCAACACAAATAACTGATAAATGCTTGAGGTGATGAGTATCCTAAATATCCTGACTCGATCATTTCACATTCTACACATGCATGAAAATATTATGTGTACCCCAAAGTATGTATAAATATTATATGCCAATAATTTTTATTAAAATACCAACAAGCTCAGTACAATAAGGAGTATTTTAAAATGATACAAAAATTATTTGTGTGATAATTTGGCAAATATTTCCTGTTCATTAACATCAATTTTTTCTCCTATAAGTATAAGGAGAATAATACCTAAATAGCATCAGAAGTGGTTGCTTTCCTGAAAGAGAATCCTTTTCCCAGTTAAAAATACAGAATCAGAATCACTAAAGTAAATAGGACTTTGGAGAACTACATAGCACTGGGTCTTGCTGCCCTGGGGCGGCCAGGCTCAGGGAGTGCTCACCTTCCAGGGAAAACTAAACTTCGGCTCCCTTGTTTTGGTAGTGTTCTTTTTTTTTTTTTTTTTTTGAGATGGAGTCTTGGTCTGTCGCCCAGGCTGGAGTGCAGTGGCGAGATCTTGGCTCACTGCAAGCTCTGCCTCCTGGGTTCACACCATTCTCCCGCCTCAGCCTCCCGAGCAGCTGGGACTACAGGCATCCACCACCACGCCCGGCTAATTTTTCTTTTTGTATTTTTAGTAGAGAAGGGGTTTCACCGTGTTAGCCAGGGTAGTCTCGATCTCCTGACCTCGTGATCCGCCCGCCTCGGCCTCCTAAAGTGCTGGGATTACAGGCGTGAGCCACTGCGCCTGGCCTTTGGTGGTGTTCTTATTGCAAGACCAACATTTCAAAATATCAACAGAGTCCAGCCAAAGGGTTGTATTCTCTTTTATTTCTTATAATATGCACCGCCAAGGATGGCGCAGACTCTTATGGGCTAAACTGTGTCCCTGTACACATATTTTGAGGCCAATGTTGACAAGATAGAGGGAGAAGATGGCCATCTGTAAGCCAGAGACAGGCCTCAGGAGCAATCAGCCCTGCAATACATTCCATCGTGGACCTGTAGCCTCCAGAACTGGGAGATAATACATTTCTACTGTTTAACTTACCCAGTCTGTGCCACTTTATTATGGAAGTCTTAGCAAATTAAAACAGAGATATCACCTTTTCTACCCTGCCCTACATATGAAAATGAGATTTTTCAAGAGTATGAATTATGTAGGATTCCAAAGCATAGAACGGATAGATTGAAAATTGACAATGGCAGGTGATGTAGAGTTTGGGCAGATGTAGGCTGGCTTCCAAGCCTCCGTGGTCCCATGGTCACCACACAAAGGTGGAGATGTTCTCATTCCTTTTCATTTTCACTTGGAGCAAAACATGTGGGTCCACACTGGTATATGATCAGAAGATATATTTAACTGATTTGAGATATTGAGGTAGAAAGTCTTGCTGTACTTTTATAGAAAGATGAATGATAATTATCATCACTAAAGGGGCTTTTAGGCAGGGTGTTGCTGGCATTATGTTTTCCTCCTACTTTTAAGGTGCATGTTCCTAAAAAAGCCCTGTCTAGGAGTAAAGGCCATCACCTAAATTTTTCTGTTTCTGCGGCCGGGCGCGGAGGCTCACGCTTGTAATCCCAGCACTTTGGGAGGCCAAGGCGGGCGGATCACGAGGTCAGGAGATCGAGACCATCCTGGCTAACATGGTGAAACCCCGTCTCCACTAAAAATACAAAAAATTAGCCGAGTGTGGTGGTGAGCGCCTGTAGTCCCAGCTACTCGGTAGGCTGAGGCAGGAGAATGGCATGAACCCAGGAGGTGGAGCTTTCAGTGAGCCGAAATCGCTCCACTGCACTCCAGCCTGGGTGACAGAGCAAGACTCTGTCTCAAAAAAAAAAAAAAAAAAATTTTCTCCACCTGTCAACTCATTGGTCCTCACTTCATTTCAGTAAGGTTACCGGAATGTCTGTGTTTATCCAGGATTCACAGATGAGTTTAAAAGTCCCTAGTGGTAGAGAGCTTCTCCCGAGGTCACACGGCAACCGAGTGTGGTGGAGCAATGACAGGCATGTGGCAACCTTGGTCCGTACTCCAGTTCTCTAGGTGCCATGAGAATTGCAGCCTTTGGTTCATTTTCTATTATTATTATTTTTTTTCTGAATGAGTGAAGGAAAATGTGTGTTGAGAACAAAGTGCCAGAGACCTAAGTCCATTCCTTAAACCTGCAGGGTTGGGGCCTGGAGAGACAGAGGCTGCCACTGATTCTCTGAATTCCAGCTTCCGTTGTCAGTCACGCAGCTGAAAGCAGGAAGAAGCTCTCTCTTCTGCACTTGGAACAACAGGGTGAAGATGACAGAGAGTCCCACATCTACCATGGAAAAGGCAATGGTCCCTAAATCATGCCAAGTTTTCTAATGACATGTGTTTTCCCGCAACATGTAACTATATGTCCTCCCTTCAAGCACCAGTTATCACAGTACAAACACAGCAACAGCATAAAGGAATGACTACTGAGCCTGAAGCTCTGATGGATGCTCTGAGTTGAGACTTTGTTTTATACTTAGGTACCTGTGAGTCATTGCAGAGTTTTGCCTGACTCCACCATGACCCAATTTGATCAAGGTCTATATGCTATGAGACCTCTCTAGTTCCTCATCAGAAATTATAATGAATACCATGTCCAGCTCCTGAGGTGCCTGATGGCAACGAGCGGCAGCTCCTCTTGGGGCAACACTTTGGGGGTGACCAAGGCCTCACAGACCTCACTACTGCTGGGCTACATGGCCCAAGGCTCCTGGGCGCAATGGATCGGTGGTCTTGGATTCGCCTCAGACATTTAATGACATTTGTTCTTGGGCTTTCACAAGTGGTCTCTGGTTGAGATGGAAGGAAAGGACGCAGGGACACAAAATCTCTGACTGCCCAGGGACCACCTCACCGTCCTCACTTCCACTCAAGACGACATGGCCGTTCCACTAAATTCCCGAGGACATGGCCAACATGAGTAACAACACAGGGAAGTGCCTTACACAGAGTTCCATGGAAGCCCGGCTAGTACCCTCTAGACCATTTACCTACACCTGTTGGGATCTCTCTAGCATGAAATGCTCCAGAGGCAGTCATGCCATAAGCTTGGATCCTCCAGCCATTGAGTGTGAGGGTCTTAGCCCGGTCTAAATGAGCACTGAATTCTAGAGAGACCAAGGGACCGTCTAAGTTCTGAATTCTGAGTCCTGAATCCTGGAAGTTGGCTTCTGGCCAGGGAGCAGGTGTTACTGCCTCTGATCCACAAAAGCAGCCCCACAGCTCAAGTTGCTCTTCTGGATTTCTCCCCTCTCCTGGTTCCTGGCCAGGCAAATCTTCACTGCTTTGTTAGCCCATCCATTTGCTCAACCAGATTTTTCAAATATGTATGTTTTCCTCCTTTTCCCATTGTACTCAGTGGAAGGAATGGTCTAAATTACCTAATCAGCAATTCCTGGAAACCAAGCCACCATGTACATACAATCTTATACATTAATGTCACATACAAGAAAGAAAATGCAGAGGTACCAGTAGTGGCTACCTAAGCAGTGTAATGTAGAGGTAATAAAAACGAATTGTTGGATAGTATCTATCTATGCCATGAGTAAAATACATATCAATAAATTACAACTTCTAAGAAAATAATCTCTATATGTAATATATGACTATGACTCTGATAGACAAACCTCGGAGTATTGTCTGAAGACACTTCTCATCACCTTCACCTCATGAGCCAGATGGTGTGAAATGAGGAGCAGAGATTTGAAATGTGTGGCAAGCCTCTCTGCAAAGCAGCAGAGTAACATTCTACATGAGCGAATCAAAGCAATCTCACAAATGACATTGGATGTGCGGTGTGGGATGTGTGTCCTTATTATAATGGAGTTAATCCTTTAAGTAGGTAATCCTTTTACATGAACTGGATTCTAAATGACTTATTAGCTATCAATTAGCCAGGAATTTTTCCCTTTACTAAAAGAGAGACCCTGCCATGAACCAGCATTTCCCAGGTGGAGGTCTCTGGCAGACATCAACTTCTAACAGGGTAAATGTCCTGTTTCTTTAGTCAGGGAAAACTGACTTTCACAAGTGGTCTCTGGTTGAGGGATCCCATTTTGAGTGGGGCATTTGCCAAGTCACTTCTCCCTGTTCCTGCTGGGGCTGGGGATGATGAACCGAGTGAAGACACAAACTCTGAGAGGGAACCAGGCAGACAGGCAGACTGACAAGGAGGGCACTGCCTGGTCTAGTTACCATTCGCACCCAGTCAGAAGAGGTGAAGGGTGAGAGAGGAGGCTGCTGGGAACTGGAATATTAGCAGCCAGGAAGGCCAAGAAAGTGCAGGCTGACAGTATAGGCCAGAGGCTGGAGACCCTGGGAGGGAGCTTTGTTGTTCCCTCTGAGCCCCAGGGTGCAGGAGAGGGTCCTTTTCACCAGGGAGCTTCAGCCTTCAGGATGATTTCTGGGCTCTGCACTCCACTGATCCTCCATGAGGACTTTAAACAGCAAGATGAGGTACACAGGGCCCTAGGAATCTGATTCTCATATACCCTGAAATACCTTTACTAAAAATATCATCCCTATGTTTTGCTTATTTCTTATAACATATAAAACATTAAGCCAAACCACCGTACAGAATTTATTAATATGTAGATATGAGGTGTCTGGTGACAGATCCTCCAAGTTATTTATATCAGAGGAAGAAAGTGGTCTGGCTGCATTCACAGATGAGAACAGCAGGGTAGCAACACTCAGGACCATGACACTGGGTGCTCCCAACCCCGAAGGGAAGCGTCTCACTGTACACAGATGGCC
>NT_167244.2:2304253-2410058 GCF_000001405.40 Homo sapiens | reverse complement strand
GGCCAGGCACAGTGGCTCAGGCCTGTAATCCCAGCACTTTGGGAGGCCAAGGTGGGCGGATCATCTGAGGTTAGGAGTTCAAGACCAGCCTAACCAACATGGAGAAACCCCGTCTATACTAAAAAAAAAAAAACAAAAAACTTAGCCAGCCGTAGTGGTGCATGCCTGTAATCCCAGCTACTCAGGAAGGCTGAGGCAGGAGAATCACTTGAACCCAGGAGGCGGAGGTTGTGGTGAGCCAAGATCCTGCCACTGTACTCCAGCCTGGGAACCAAGAGCGAAACTCAGACTCAAAAAAAAAAAAAAAAAGCCCGAAGTCCCAGTTGAATTTGTGGTGTAGATGTGGTGGGTGGGCTCTGGGTACCCAGCGCAGCTTAGCTGGCAGTATGTAGAAGTGAATACCAGGAAGTCTTTCTTTTCATTTCCCTCTGTTTTCTCTGGCTTGCCTCTGCCCAGGTGGCACTGGGGCCTCTGCTTCAGTGTATGCCTCAATGTATTTCCAACAAGATCCTTTCTTACGGAGACGGAGATGAGACAGCCCAGAAATCTGACTGATATGCCATGCTGTGGAGAGATCTTCCGGGAACAAGAGGGAGTTTGCAGTTCTCATTCTATTTTTGCTGGCCTCTAATGATCAGAAGCAAAGCAGAGCCAAAACAAATAGGCTAATTTACATTCCCTGCTATTAATGCTCATAAAATGCTGCATTTTTATATTGCTGCTCAAAGCACAGACTGCAGAAAGAGTATTGAGGTGGTTCTGACAGCAATCTTAAGAACTGCAGAGAGACTCTCTTGCTCAATAATTTTCTCCTTCTTTTAAAAATAAGGCTGGACATGGTGGCTCACATCTGTAATACCAGCACTTTGGGACACCGAGGTGGGAGGATAACTTGAGTCCAGGAGTTCAAGACCAGCCTGAGCAACATAGTAAGACCCCCATCTCTACAAAAAATACAAAAATTAGCCAGGTGTGGTGGCTCACACCTGTAGTCCCAGCTGCTTGGGAGGCTAAGGTAGGAGGATCACCTCAGCCCAGGGAAGTTGAGGTTGCGATAAGCCATGATTGCACCACTGCACTCTAGTCTGGACAACAGAATGAGACCCTGTCTCAAAAAAATAAATAAATAAAAATAAATAAATTAAATAACATTGGCTGGACATGGTGGCTCACGCCTGTAATCCCAGCACTTTGGGAGGCCGAGGCAGGAGGGCTTGAGTCCAGGAGTTTGCAACCAGCCTGGACAACGTAGTGAGATCTCCATCTCTACAAAAAGCGAACAAAATTAGCCAGGCATGGTGGCGTGTTCTTGTAGCCCCAGCTACTCAGGGAGCTGAGGTGGGAGGATTGCCTGAGCCTGGGAGGCTGAGGCTGCAATGAGCCGAGATCGCACCACTGCCCTCCACCCTGGGCAACAGAGCGAGATCCTGTCTCAAAAAGGAAAAAAAAATTATCAGGTTTGAAATAAAATATACATAATATAAGAAAACAAAAGTAATTTCTAACCCCAATAAATAAAGATAGAAGACATTGTTAACATTTTGGTATATTTTCTTCTTCTGTTTTTTTTTTGTTGTTGTTTTTGTCTTATTTTATTTAGAGATGGTCTCCCTCTGTTGCCCAGGCTGGGGTGCAGTGGTACAATCAGCTGACTGTGACCTTGAACTCCTGGGCTCAACTGATCCTCTGACTCAGCCCCCCAAGTAGCCAGGACTACAGGCATGTGCCATCACATCTAGCTTTTTTTCTTTTTCTGAAATAAGAATGGGTTATATTTTGCTGTAACAACATGGGGTTAGGGACCAGGCCTGCGTAGTTGTAGTCATGCTTTATGATATGGCTGGTGACTCAGTTAACTGCTGGTTCATGAGCTGGAGCAATCCCAAAATGGTTTTCTAAAGGATGCCTGGCCCTGGTGTTTCCACACTGGCTCCTGTGGAGCATCTCTAAGCAGAGGCTGCATGGTGTTCTGTCCAGGTGGGAGCACAGGCTGAGTGACTCAGTTTTCATGAGGCGATGTATACCTGTTGCCCGCCCAAATGAGTTCTTAACAAATGGTAATGAGACTGGCCACCGTGGCTCACGACTGTAATCCCAGCACTTTGGGAGGCTGAGGCTGGCGGATCACTTGAGGTCAGGAGTTGGAGATCAACCTGGCCGACATGGTGAATCCCCGTCTCTACTAAAAATACAAAAAATTAGCTGGGCGTGGCGGGTGACTGGAGTCCCAGATGCTTGAGAGTCTGAGGCAGGAGAATCACTTGAACCCGGGAGCCGGAGGTTGCAGTGAGCCGAGATGGCGCCACTGCACTCCAGCCTGGACAACAGAGTGAGACTCCACCTCAAAAAAAAAAAAAAGAAATAAACAAAGCAGATATACAGTAGTCCCTTGGTATATGAGGGGGATTGGTTCCAAGACTCCTGTGTATACCAAAACCTACACATATTCAAGTCCCACAGTCAGCCCTTTGGGTCCCAAATATATGTAAAGTTGGGCCTTTGTATACATGGGTTTCACATGTCACCATTACTGTGTTTGTGATCTGCATTTGATTGAAAATAACCCATGCATAAGTGGACCTAAGTGGACCTATGCAGTTCAAATCCATGTTGCTCAAGGGTCAACTATATGGACATTAAATTAAGCAAGACATAAACTGGGATGTTAAAGCATGAGCAATAAATTAAAACTCAAAGAAATGACAGAAACCATTAGAGAAAATCAAATGAAGTATTGCTAAAAAATTTTAGGCAATTTTAACAAAACAGGAAAAACTTTATCAAGTTGATTTTTGCAAAGAAACTGGAACATGAGCTCCCTCCACTCACGTGTCTGTGCCCCTCAGAAGGGCGGTCCTGAGGAGCCAGCACATAGCCCAGGACTGACGTTAATGCCCTCAGGCAGGCTCCCACTGCCTCCTCTGCGCCTGCCTTCTCTCACTTTCTAGAATCCCAGTCCTAAAACTCTGTTTGATGTTTAGCAAAGGAAGACATATTCAGACATGCATAATAATGGTAGAAGACAGAGGTGAGGAATGCTGTGAAAGGTGTCCAAGGGGCCATGGAGAGCCCTGGGACTCTGGGGCTACCCCAAGGAGGCTGTGTTTTAAAATGTGTTTACACAGGCCTTTTCCATCATAAGTACATCTTTATTATTTTATGTATTTTGGAAAACACAGAAAAGTATTTCAAAAGCAAATCCTAAAGTAGTAAGCCTTAGATCATTGTGAAAGTTAATTTTTAAAAATATTTATTAAATTTAATGAATTAATTAATTTTTTGAGGCATGGTCTTACTCTGTCACTCGGGCTGGAGTGCAGTGGCACAATCACGGCTCACTGCAGCCTCAACTTCTCAGGCTCAAGAGATCCTCCCACCTCAGCCTCCCGAGCAGCTGGGACCACAGGCACTCGCCACCATGCCTAGCTAATTTTTTCTCGTTGTTTTTTGTAGGGACAGAGTCTCACTATATTCCCCAGGCTGGTCTTGAACTCCTGGGCTCAAGCAATCCACCCATCTAAACCTCCCAAAGTGCTGAGATTACAGGGATGAGCTGCTGTGCCCAGCCAAAGGTTAATTTCATGTGTCAGTATGCTTAAGCCATGGTACCCAAATATTTGGTCAAACATTATTCTAGATGTTTCTACTAAGGTATTTTGTAGATGAAATCAACATTTAAATGGATGGACTTTGAATAAAGCAAATTACCCTCCCGTATGTGAGTGGGTCTGACATCCCCCAAGGAAGAGGGAATTCTGCCTCCAGGTTGCCCTTAGGCCTGAACTGTGACATTAACTTTTGTCTCCAAGCCTGCCAGTTTTCCCTGCAAATTTTGGACTTGCCAATCTCCACAATCGTGTGAGCCAATTCCTTAAAATCTCTCTCTCACCTATATGAGCTCCTTTGAGTGTGTCTTCTCATCTATATGAGAGAGAGAGAGAGACAGAGAGAGAGAGGTTTTAGTTCTGTTTCTCTGGAGAACCCTAATACAGTTATGGTTTCATTTTAAAACATTTTTTTCTAGTCTTTTCTTTATACCTAGGTGGTTGTTGTTGTTTAGGTTTTTGTTTTTGTTCTTTTTGAGGGGTTGTATTTTATTGTCACCAATTGCATATATAATTGTGTGTTCCTTAATTCCTTATATTTATTTATTTATTTATTTTTGAGACAGTCTAGTTCTGTCACCCAGGATGGAGTAAAGTGGCGTGATCTCTGTTCACTGCAACCTCTGCCTGCCGGGTTCAAGAGATTCTCGTGCCTCAGCCTCCCAAGTAGCTGGAATTACAGGCACCCACCAACCACGCCTGGCTAATTTTTGTATTTTTAGTAGAGATGGGGTTTTGCCATGACCTCAAGTGATCCGCCAGCCTCGGCCTCCCAAAGTGCTGGGATTACAGCATGAGCCACTGTGCCTGGCCTTTAATTCTTTTTAAATAAATTATTATGACACTATTGTCTTCTTTGTTAATATAAGTTTTAATAAAAGTCACTTAAGTGGCTTCCCAATGATGCACAAAGTACATAGTCTATAATTTATAGTTTTTACTGCTAAATGTTTCTGCTGCTTCCAATATTTTGTTAAGATAGTAAACTGTAATGCACTTTTTTTGTTTATAAAGCTTTTTACACAATTGAGAATTGGATAGATTCCCAGAAATGAGATGACTGCATTGAAGTCACAGGCTAAGAGACACAAAGAGAACAGCAGCGACCCGCAGCAAGCTGGGCCAGAGGCTCCAGAGACTGCTGTCGAGGCCTGCTGGGGAGGAAGCCATGGCCAGTGGGGGGGCCACGAGTGGGCACAGAATCCACCCTCAGCTCCCACAGCTGCCCTCAGCCTCATGTTTAATCAGGCTCCACTAAAGACCTAGGGATAACAGAAGAGAATTCCAGGTACACTTAAAACTGGAAATGAGACATGGTGCTTTCAGATTTCAGAGGCCCACGCCCCTCCCTGTATGCACTTGCTACAGGAGGCTTCTCTGCCTCACCTTTAGCACGCTCTGAGTTTTGGGGGCCAGCATAACTCCCCAAGATAGGTGGCTCCCTTGAGTGTGCCTTCACTATGCAAAATACAGGCTCCCAACTCTGTTCTTGTTCTGGTTCAAAGACAGCAGGAAGTTTCCCCACTCAATCCAGCTTGCGGCCCACCTACCTACCAGTACCTGTGTTCTTTAGGATGATTTAAAGTGAGAATGAGCTACTCTCTGGAGGAGAAACATCCCAACCTATGGCCTGTGACCTCAGTGCCTTATGACCTGTGAGAGAGACTACATGTCCAGCAGAAATATACATGTATTTCTCTGTGAGAGAGACTACATGTCCACAGAAAGCGAGCTCCGTGTAATTTACAAAGTTCTAGTAGTCACATCAAAAAGGTAAAAAACAACAGGTGAAATTAATTCTAATAGTAAATTTTATTTAACACAGCATATCCAAAATATTGTGATTTTGACAAGTAATAAACATAAAAATTATTAGTGAGATATTTTACTGTTTTTGTACTAAGTCTTTGAAATCTCATGTGTGTCTTGCACTTAAGAGCACATTTGTATTTGGACTAGCCACACTTCATGTGCTCAGTTGCTACATGTGGCTAATGGCTACCATGTAGGACAGCACAGACTTACTGCACAGCTTACCTGAGGAGATCCTAGCAATAAATACTTGTCTTGCATCGCATGTGTCTCAAGAATAAGTTATTATTATTAATTAGTTTTTTTTCCTTGAGATGGAGTCTTGCTCTTGTAGCCCAGGCTGGAGTGCAGTGGCATGATCTTGGCTCACTGTAACCTCTGTCTCGTGGGTTCAAGTGATTCTCCTGCCTCAGCCTCCCGAGTGGCTGAGATTACAGGTGCACACCACCACGCCTGGCTAATTTTTGTATTTTTAATAGAGATGGGGTTTCACCACTTTGGCCAGGCTGATCTCAAACTCCTGCCCTCGGGTGATCTGCCCTCCGCCCGCCTCCTCGGCCTCCCAAAGTGCTGGGATTACAGGCGTGAGCCACTGTGCCCAGCCAAGAATACGTTATTTAGTCTTGAATTACAGATTTCATTGAACATCTACAGATCAGTCTATGACGTCCTTAACTTGCTCAGTGGAGCCAGTTTTCCCCATTCCAAGATGAAAATATGGACAGTACTAAGACTGTTCTGATCTCTCTTAGGTCCTGTAGTTATTTTATATTACCAAACACAATGCCAATTCAGAAACTCAACGTTTAGTTCCAAAGGTAAGTCTCCTTTCCTCCAGCAAGGGCTTTGCAAGGATGGGAAGATGAGAAATGGGGAAACAGGTCCTCAACATTATGCATCTATCCTTCTTCTCCTGTCTTGCTAATGGTGGTTTCTAACCCTCCAAGGTTGAGTAGAATGGGGAAGGGTTGGGGGAAGGAGTGGTCTGGGGCGTGGAGCAGGCACGGTTTGCAAGAGGGCTTTGCATTCTCTGGGACTGGTAGGGGCTTACAGGGGATTCCTCCTCCTTGGGTGCTTCTTCCGAGACCCCTCACCCCTAATGCCATACAGTTGCAAATGAGGATTTCTTTCCACGATTTATTCCTCCCACAGCTCATAGGAATGCAGTAATCACTTCAGCTTCTCTCTGCTGAGGCCTGTTGATGCCTGTAGGTGGCCACATCAGACAGGATTAGCTCGGCTCCACATCAGCTCGCTTCCTAGCATGCCTCACACTAGTCTGCTGGAAATACTTACACAGCCTTGCCCTGAAAACCTGGGATACAGGTCCCCAGTGCCTCCTCCTTTCCTACACTCCCACTCCCAGGGCAGAAAACCAGCCTGTCTCCTACCATGAGGTCTGCAGACAAATGTCAGATGCCAGCCCATTGCAGTCTGTCCACTGGGGAGGGGGAAGCTTTATGCAGGACAATAGGAAAAAAGAGTGAAACTATTCTGAATTAGATGTTTATATACATAAAATGATATTGCTTGACACCTGAAGGGAACAAGAAAAACTCTGGAGCTTTCTTGATCTAGTGACATGAAAGAAAGATGAGGTCCATGTGCTGTGGCTCATGCCTATAATCCCAGCACTTTGGGAGGCTGAGGCTGGAAGATACCTTGAGTCCAGGAGTTCAAGGCCAGCCTGGGCAACATGGTGAGACCTAATCTTTATTGAAAAAATAAAAATAAAACGTAGCAGGGCATGGTGGTGCATGCCTATGATCCCAGCTATTTGGGAAGCTGAGGTGAGAAGATTACTTGAGCCAGTGAGATTAAGGCTTCTATGAGCCATGATCATGCCACTGCATTCCAGCAAATTAAAAAAACTTAAAATTTTTTTTAGGCTTGACTTGAAACTCAGAGACCTTGAAAAAGAAAGAAAAAGAAGAAGAAAGAAAGAAAGAAAGAAAGAAAAAAAGAAAGAAAGAAAAGATGGGACCATTGGTCGCCATGGACACTGTTTCCACAGCTACTTTGCTATTTTGATTGTCATTGCGTATTGTTTGAAAGACTCTGCTATGAGAAAAATATAACTATTTCTCAATTTAACCGTGATAGACTATAAGTAGATAAAATAAGGTTGAGACAGATTAAATAAACTATTAAGGGGAAGAACTAGACTAGAACCCAGGTTTTCTGGCTTCTTATCTGGTGTCTGTTTTCACTCTGAAACTCACTTAGGGTCACGGACTCACTGACTCACAGATTCAGTGTGACAAAGATAATCAGAAACCAAGTCACTGTAACAAAAGCCCCCTAAAGACAGGACACCAGCTCACTGCTGTATCCTCAGTGTTGACGTCAGTGTGCTTGTCCAATAATCCACACTTAATAAATGTGAGTAGAATGAGTGAATTAATTAATTAATGGTTTAGTTGTTTAGTTTGTGAGGGAACAAGTATCTGAAAATGTTAAATGAATCACTGAAAGTCATTTATATATATGTGTGTGTGTATATATATACATATATATATATATATTTTTTAAATACAGAGTCTTGCTATGTTATCCGAGCTGGTCTCCAACTCCTGAGCTCAAGCAAACCACTCGCCTCGGCCTCCCAAAGTGCTGGGATTACAGGTGTGAGCCACCTCACCCTGTAATATAATATAAATGCCGAAAGTCATTTATATTTTATAGGTTGTAAGACATATATTTATTTTCCCATTTATCATCTCTTGAATAGGGATGCGTCTTACAATCAATGGCGTGTCATAGTTTAACCCGCTGTGTTTTCCTCTTAGTGCTGCATGAAATAATGGTATGTTTTCCGGCAACGGAGCTTTAGATGCAATGAGGAGCAGCAGTTGTTTGTGGACATACGTTGTGTCTCATGTCAGTGAGTGCAAGGAAAGGGGGAGGTGGGGGTGACCCCGTGGGATGCAAAACAAGTCAACTTCTCCAGGCCCTCAGAAGTGGCGCTCAATCTCCAGAGAGGCGCCCATCTCGCAGAGGGCCACTACCCGGTCATTGCCACTAGGGGGCTACCAGACATTTCATCAGGAAGACACAGGCAGTCTTTGGGCCTCTCTTCCGACCAGGCCATTTGTTGCCATGGATATTGTTTCCATAGTTGCTTTGACTGTCACTGCATTTCCCCTGATTATCTGTTTTTGCATGCTGAATATATACTATAATCCAATCTTCATCCTCATCAATTTAACAATTTTATCATATCTAGATTTTTCAAATGGCCAGTTTTCATCAATTGTGACGTTCATGGCATTTGACTTTGTTAGTGAGTTCTGCTTTTGCAGCCCCTGTGTTCCAGTATACAATACTGCATTATACCTCAGCTCACTTCACAAATTGGGTATCCACTGCAAGCAACTAAGCACAAGTAGTGAATACTAATCCAAATGAAAGAATGGGTCTGTTGTGGTGTTAGCGCAAGAGAAAATTCCTCTGCTCCATGGTGCATTAGTAGTAGCTCATTTTGCTTGCTGCCCCATTTGATTACATTGTTGGTGGTAAATATCACTGCTGAAAGTTCCATGAATTTCTTAAAGGTCTCCAAAGAAGATGTGGAACATTGAAGCATTTCACAACGTTTGCATGTACATGACAGCAATATTCATTCGCTTCTGCCAGGCACCTTGAAGGCAAAAGCTATTTACATGGCTCTCCACTGTGTTCTCATAGCCATGCACAGGCTTATATGTCCTCTGCAAAGATGTGATAGATGATCAAAGGAAACATCCAGTCTCCTCCCTCTCCCTCTCCCTCCCCCTCCCCCTCCCTCTCCTCCCCCTCCCCCTCTCCCTCTCCTCCCTCTCCCTCTCCTCCCTCTCCCTCTCCTCCCTCTCCTCCCTCTCCCTCCCCTCCCTCTCCCTCTCCTCCCTCTCCCTCTCCCTCTCCCCACGGTCTCCCTCTCCCCCTCCCTCTCCCTCTCCCCACGGTCTCCCTCTCCCCCTCCCTCTCCCTCTCCCTCTCCCCGCGGTCTCCCTCTCCCCCTCCCTCTCCCCACGGTCTCCCTCTCCCTTTCCCCACTGTCTCCCTCTCCCTCTCCCTCTCCCTCTCTCTCCACGGTCTCCCTCTGATGCCGAGCCGAAGCTGGACTGTACTGCCACCATCTCAGCTCACTGCAACCTCCCTGCCTGATTCTCCTGTCTCAGCCTGCCCAGTGCCTAGGATTGCAGGCGCGCGCCGCCACGCCTGATTGGTTTTCGTATTTTTTTGGTGGAGACGGGGTTTCGCTGTGTTGGCCGGGCTGGTCTCCAGCTCCTAACCGCGAGTGATCTGCCAGCCTCGGCCTCCCGAGGTGCTGGGATTGCAGACGGAGTCTCAATCACTCAGTGCTCAATGTTGCCCAGGCTGGAGTGCAGTGGCGTGATCTCGGCTGGCTACAACCTCCACCTTCCAGCTGCCTGCCTTGGCCTCCCAAAGTGCCGAGATTGCAGCCTCTGCCCGGCTGCCACCCCGTCTGGGAAGTGAGGAGCGTCTCTGCCTGGCCGCCCATTGTCTGGGATGTGAGGAGCCCCTCTGCCTGGCCGCCCAGTCTGGGAAGTGAGGTGCGCCTCTTCCCGGCCGCCATCCCATCTAGGAAGTGAGGAGCATCTCTGCCGGGCCGCCCATCGTCTGAGATGTGGGGAGCGCCTCTGCCCCGCCGCCCCGTCTGGGATGTGAGGAGCGCCTCTGCCCAGCCGCGACCCCGTCTGGGAGGTGAGGAGCGTCTCTGCCCGGCCGCCCCGTCTGAGAAGTGAAGAGCCCCTCCGCCCGGCAGCCGCCCCGTCTGGGAAGTGAGGAGCATCTCCGCCCGGCAGCCGCCCCGTCAGGGAGGGAGGTGGGGGGGCAGCCCCCGCCCGGCCAGCCGCCCTGTCCGGGAGGTGAGGGGCACCTCCGCCCGGCAGCCCCGACTGGGAAGTGAGGAGCCCCTCTGCCCGGCAGCCACCCCGTCTGGGAGGTGAACCCAACAGCTCATTGAGAACCGGCCATGATGACGATGGCGGTTTTGTCGAATAGAAAGGGGGAAATGTGGGGAAAAGATAGAGAAATCAGATTGTTGCTGTGTCTGTGTAGAGGGAAGTAGACAGGGGAGACTCCATTTTGTTCTGTACTAAGAAAAATTCTTCTGCCTTGGGATGCTGTTAATCTATAACCTTACCCCCAACCCCGTGCTCTCTGAAACATGTGCTGTGTCCACTCAGGGTTAAATGGATTAAGGGCGGTGCACCATGTGCTTTGTTAAACAGATGCTTGAAGGCAGCATGCTCGTTAAGAGTCATCACCACTCCCTAATCTCAAGTACCCAGGGACACAAACACTGCGGAAGGCCGCGGGGTCCTCTGCCTAGGAAAACCAGAGACCCTTGTTCACTTGTTTATCTGCTGACCTTCCCTCCACTATTGTCCTATGACCCTGCCAAATCCCCCTCTCCGAGAAACACCCAAGAATGATCAATAAATACTAAAAAAAAAAAAAAAGAAAAAGAAAAAGGAAACATCCATGCCACCTCCTTTCATGGGTAGAAGGTAGAAGCTGAAAAAGTCTTCTGGGTATGGAAACTCACGAATACCTCGAGGCCAACTTGGTTCAGGGTTGCTGCCTAAAAAACTCTGGGTGAGGTCCTGAGTTGAAAACAAAACATCTCTGCTTGTGTTCAATTTTCAAATTCTTTTGAGGGTGAGGCCTGAGAAGTCGCAAACATCTTAAAAAGCAGAACTCACTAGTAAAGGCAAATAAATGCCATAAATGTCACAATTGATGACACGTTCCCTACCATCCATCACACACACAAGAATGTTTTTTCTGTGTATCCACGACTTGTTTTCAGACTGGGGGCTCCTCAAGAATAGGGACTGTGTCTGGTTTTTCTTGCTTGGCTCAAAACCCAATACAGATTGGAGGAAAGATCCGAGAGCCTGCCATTGCAAGCCTAAAGAAGAGAAGACTGAAGGATAAAAGTGTTCATACCTGTGAGTGATTTTTGTAGAGACAGTCCAGAACAGTTCATCACTTGAGATTCAGTCCAAATGAGATAAAAAGTGAGTAATCCTGGAGCCAGGAAACCTGAGTTTAACTCCCTCACCCCCCACCCCTCCCTGCCACTTACCGTTAAGGAGGTTTGGGGACAATTTATTTAACTTCTCTGAACTTCAGTCTTTGCATTTCTAAGACAGGATGGTTCTCCTACCTCACAGAGGTGATGTGAAGATCAAAAGAATCCACATATGTGACAGCAGCTCAAAGTGCCCCACAAATATGTCACAAGTCTCCGGTCAGTTACCCTATCCCTTGGGAAGCTTTCCAGGATCTGCACAGGCTGAATGAGATCCCTTCTCTGGACTCTGCCCGAAAGCATTCCTTTATTGTAGCACTTAGCATGTTGCACTGTAATTGCTGGTTTTCTTGTCCTTGAGGGTAAGAACTATGTCATTCACTTCTGTTGGTTGGCTGCCTCTGTTCCCAAAAGAATTCCCAGCACCATACTAGACAGTTACTAAAGGAATCCTAGGCCAGGTGCAGTGGCTCATACCTGTAATCCCAGCACTCTGGGAGGCCAAGGTGGGTGGATCACAAGGTCAGGAGTTCGAGATCAGCCTGGCCATCATAGTGAAACCCTGTCTCTACTAAAAATACAAAAATTAGCCGGGTGTGGTGGCACGCGCCTATAGTCCCAGCTACTCAGGAGGCTGAGGCAGGAGAATTGCTTGAGCCTGGGAGGCGGAGGTTGCAGTGAGCTGAGACCACACCATTGCAATCCAGCCTGGGTGACAGAGTGAGACTCTGTCTCAAAAAAAAAAAAAAAGGAATCCTAATTTCCTTGTGTTTACAAATAAGACCAAAACAGAAGAAATAGCACCAAAAGAAAGCATACATTTATTCGTTTATTCCAAAATGTGTATTTCATCCCATCTAAGATGACGTTGAATGCAAGATGCAGCATTACTTATGCCCCACTAAGGAAGAAAGAGTGCTACTGACTGGTTCATGATGTGCTATCAAGTGTAAGACACTTTTCCATTTTTAAACGTTTCTTGGTTTTTTTTTTTAGGCAGTGTCTTGCGATGTTGCCCAGGCAGGTCTCTAACTCCTAGCTCTGGGCAATCCTCCCACCTTGTCCTCCAAAAGTCCTGGGATTACAGGCCTGAACCACTGCAGCCAGTGGACATCTCCATTTTATTTTTATTATTATTTTTTTAAGACAGCATCTCACTCTGTCACCCAGGCTGGAGTGCAGTGGTGCAATCTCGGCTCACTGCAACCTCCACCTCCCAGGTTCAAGTGATTCTCTTGCCTCAGCCTCCTGAGTAGCTGGGACTACAGGTGTGTGCCACCAGCGCCCAGCTAATTTTTGTATTTTTAGTAGAGACGGGGTTTCACTATGTTGGCCAGGCTGGTCTCCAACTCCTGACGTCAAGTGATCCACCTGCCTCAGCCTCCCAAAGTGCTGGGGTTACAGGTGTGAGCCACTACGCCCATCCGACATCTCAATTTTAGATTACGATCCAATGGGGAAGATGTGCATCAGAGGCTCAATGAAGCATATGATTATTAAATATCTAATCTATCTCATATATTGTCCTCAAAACCCCTATTCTCAAGGAACTGACATTCTAGTGGAAGGAGACAGACATAAAACAAATAAGTTAACACGTAAATAAGCATAAGTTCAGATTGTCGTCAGCTCCATAAAGAAAATAAATATGGTAATCTGTAGAGACTGAAGAGAGGGGTTTGTTTTAGATGAATCACAAGAAAGGTCCTGAATAGATCTGAAAAATAACTACGTGTTTTCTAAGGTGTCAAACAATACCTCGCTAAGGGAGAGTGTTGAATCACTGTTGCTTCACCAAACATTCTTGTTTAGAAAGACAGGGGACTGGACCAGAGTGTGCATTCGCAGACGTTTTAATGAGAGGTGACACTCCCCAAAAGGCATAAATCCTGTTCAGGCACAATCTAGAGGGGTGTGCTTACTTGCCTGGTGTCCTCAATCTGGACTTGTGCAAGTTGGGTTCAGCTGGACCTGGTATGACTCCTTGATGACACCTGAAGAGGTCCTTTAAACACTGGACTTCATAAAGAGAAAAGGAGGATTAGCTGTATGATTAACTGTATGCATTTACCAAAGGCATGGAATGCACAGATATGTGCGACAACTTATAAGTGTCATCTGAGTATGAGTATATTATGGTTTGAGAGTCAACTACCAAATCTTGTAGTTCAGGTCCCAGGAGTGGTTAGAAAGGTATTTCCCTTATTCATTGAGGCTTCATTTTTTTTTTCTTCCCTTATGGGTGTTCTGCAGCATCTTCTCCTTGTCTTTTCTACCTTCAATACTCTCCAGAGACCAGATCTTCATGTATATCTCTCTGGGCTCTCAAATGCCAAAACCATACTCTCCTTCACGGTAGCACCCTGAGGGGGTGGACTTATTCTGGAGAAAGCTACGTGGCAAGTTGAAGGAGACTGACTGGGTAAAGCCCCTGTGCCTCTGGCAGAACTGCTGCCACAAAGGGATATGCGTATCCTGGGAATAATTAGTACAGGCCAGTTGCTACTGACTTTAAGGATGTTCCTTATGCTTCAATCCTATGTACAACTCTGGGATCTTTGGAGAGCAGCAAAAAGACTGAGATTGAATTTCCCTCTAATCTGACAGGAGCAGAAATTAACATTTTCTTTCTTTTATTTTTCTCTTCGAGACAAGGTCTCTCTCTGTTGCCCAAGATGGAGGGCAGTGACATGATCACAGCTCACTGCTGCCTCGACCTCCTGGGCTCAAGCAATCCTCTCACCTCAGCCTCCCAAGTAGCTGGGACTACAGGCATACACTACCATACCCAGCTAATTTTTAATTTTTTTGTAGAGACGAGGTCTCACTATGTTGCCCAGGCTGGTCTTGAACTCCAGGCCTCAAGCAATCCTCCTGCCTCAGCCTCCCAAAGTGTTGGGATTACAAGCGTGAGCCACTGTGCCCAGCCTTTTTCTTTCTTTCTTTCTTTTTTTCTTTTTTTTTTGAGACAGGATCTTGCTCTGTCGCCCGGGCTGGAGTACAGTGGCACAGTCATGGCTCACTGCAGCCTCCACCTCCTGGGCTCAAGCGAGCCTCTTGCCTTAGCCTCCCAAGTATCTGAGCCTACAGGCATGTGCCACCACACTCGGCTAATTTTTTTTTTATTTTTAGTAGAGACAAGGTCTCACCATGTTGCCCAGGCTGGTGTAGATCTTCTGAGCTCAAGTGATCTTCCTACCTCGGTCTGCCAAAGTGCTGCGATTACAGGTGTGTCATCCTGCCTGGCCAGAAATTAACTTGATTGAAAGAAAAGAAAAGCTTTTGATATGCTAGCGTTTTTGCATGCATGCTTTTGCATGCTAAAGTTTCTATGCCATTTACAGAGATTTCATGGTCTCTTCAATTGCTCTAAGTTGTCCTTGAGGTGCAGAAACTCAAGCACACAGACTTCTCAGCTAGAATTTGTAGCTCTAGCAATTCCTTTGTTTATTGCACAAACCTAGCTTGTACCGAGACCAAAAGTTCTGCCCCCTTGAAGACCAAGGCAGATTCTGGAATTCCTTGTGCTTGCCAATACCCTTTGACAAATGCCCAGCCCCAAACCCCAGCCTGAACTTCAGGAGGAAGATTTTATAGAAACACATTGGACTTTTCCTGCCTGTATATTAACCAAGAGACTCTTCTGTCACTCTTTTTTCCTGCAATAAACTGATATTCATGCAAGTATCTCTAATCACAAAATTCTCCCTTGGCCACTTGCTGCCTCCATGGGGGCAGAAGAGGGAGATCATTTTATTATTCTCCCATTCCCCACTATGTGTAGCTCCCACATTCTTAAAATCCTGAGCACTGTGTCTTCCCAAATGTGTCATGGAGATATTCGCAGAAGTCTGCATGTTCTAGATGATGTTTATGTGTCATATCATTTAGGATCCCATTTAGCTGGAATCACAAGAAGCTCACCTCACTGAGCTCCGGCACACTGCTCATCTCATATACGAAATGTCCGAGAGGAGCAGCCCAGGGCTCAGTATTGCCATCGGGCACCCAAGTGATTTCTTCCCTCTGCTCCACTCTCAGCTTGAAGCCTTCACCCTGCTGTGGGTCTCCCCCTGACCTCAGCATTGCTGAGCCCCAGGTCTCATATCTGCATTCCAGGTAGGAAGAGGAACGAAGGGGAAGGGGCAAAGGGCTTTCTCCTCATGAGCTTTGGCCTTTTCATCTGGAAGGGACACCATCCCCAGGAACTTATGCCTTTATCACATTGGCCAGAGCTGTATCTCCTCACTGCACTGGCTGCAAGGGGGACCGGGAAATTGGGGATTTGGGAAATGGTTTTCTTCAGCTGGGCACATTACCATCACCCCCAAAACTCAGGTTCTCCAAGTGTAAGGGAAGGGGAGACTAGAGCTGTTTCTGTCACGTTTTCCTTCAGGTAATAATCTTGAAAATCCCCATAATATAAGCATTTCCTGGATTCTATTGATGACCAATATAAAACCAACATAAAGCTAATAGAAATGATTAGTCTTTACAATTGCACAGCCTAACAAGAGTAGAACGAGAACTGTCTTAAAATTTAAACGGTGCATTTGCATTAAGGGCCCAATAATCCCGCAGCTGACTGAGAGACTGAAGGTCTTGAGAGAGCTTGTACAGAGACGATCCATGAAAGAAGGAAAACATCAAGTGGCAAATGAGATTTGAGAAACTAGGCTGTAGCAATCACTACAATATTAATGTTGGAGCGAAGAATTCTTCAGTAAAGAAATATCATGCATTACATTAAACTACTGCTGTTACTTCTAACGTTATTGGAACAGTAGAGCTATAAGCATAAGGAGTTTATACTTCATTTTCTGTTTCATATATATTTACGTTTAAGCCAACATGGCGAGTTCTCAAAAAATCTCTTTTCCAGCCAGGCACGGTGGCCCACACTGTAATCCCAGCACTTTGGGAGGCCAAGGCGGGTGGATCACCTGAGGTCAGGAGTTCAAGACCAGCCTGGGCAACATGGTGAAACTCCATCTCTACTAAAAATACAAAAATTAGCCAGGCATGGTGGTGCACGCCTGTAATCCCAGCTACTCGGAGGCTGAGGAAGGAGAATCGCTTGAACCCAGGAAGTGGAGGTTGCAGTGAGCCAAGATCGCACCACTGGACTCCAACCTGGGCAACAGAATGAGACTCTGTCTCAAAAATATATATGTATCTTTTCCTTTAAAGGTGTTTATCACATAAGTCTGAGAAATATTGGTTTAATATTTATTTAATCAATCCAATTTTTTCACTTTAGTATTTTAATTTATTATTCCGTGTTTCCGACTCTGTATCATAATACTACAATTCCATTATTTAACACTGGTGGTGATGCTGCTCATAGTGGCATCAGTAGTGAGCAAACAATAATCAACTGTCTTCACATATCTTTGATTCTTTGGTTTTTGTCCTGAGCTCCTCACAGAGCTGTTATATCCAATGCCCCGGCCTTGTCTGTGGTCTTAGCCATCATTCATAGGTGCATGAATATGGTGCATTTGCATTAAGTAAGGACAAATCTCTTCTTCTATCAGGCAGGGCTTTTCTCTTAGAGGTTAGGTCTGGACTTCGTGTCCTCATTTCACACCGCGATTGACTAAGATGAGACTCATTTATTTGCTACGGTGGCCAGTCCCACACAGGTGCTCATACATACTTGCTGAATGACCAGTTGACTACATCCTGTAAATGTGACCCTTTGGCCTGGGTGGTAGGAGAACGCGGGCATAGTCCTCTTAAGAGATAAGTTGTATCCTTCAGCTTACAGGTAGACTGAGATAGACAGACTGGGAGACGTAGAGTGTTGAGCTCATGCTAGGCACTGAATAAATATTTTGTTAAGGCCAGGTGCGGTGGCTCATGCCTGTAATCCTAGCACTTTGGGAGGCCAAGGCGGGTGGATCACCTGAGGTCAAGAGTTCGGGACCAGCCTGGCCAACATGGTGAAACCCTTGTCTCTACTATAAATACAAAAATTAGCCAGGCGTGGTGGCATGCGCCTGTAATCCCAGCTACTAGGGAGGCTGAGGCAGGAGAATCACTTGAACCTGGGGGGCAGAGGTTGCAGTGAGCTGAGATCGCGCCACTTCACTCCAGCCGGGGCAAAAGAGCAAAACTTCGTCTCAAAAAAAACATTTTTTTTTTTTTTGGTTAAATGAATGAATGTAGAGATATGTCCCAGACAAAAACAGATAAAATTTGCTTTATTGATTTGATCAGACTTACCGAATATCTCTTATACCTGAGCTGTGTGTAATTCCTCAAAACCTGGTAGATAGGTAAAGGCGATTGTCCAGAGGAAGTAACCAAGGTCAGGCAGAATTAGGAGACACTCAGAGCAGATGGGCATCCTTCTGAGTGTCCTCCACATGCTTATTCCAGGGGCCAGCTGCCTTCCTCATGTGGTGGTCCCAGGGCTCCAGACTAGGGCGGAGGAGTGGAGGCCTGAGGATACACATCATGCTGCATAGTCTTGCAGAGGCGGATGAGGGGTCTCCTTTTTCTAGAACCAACTGTAGTCACTGCTGGGGTCCTCTTTATGGTGTACTGTAGTCCATGACATGGGGATGATAAATAACCCTGGTGGATGGATTTAATGGAGGCAGGAAACACTCTTTCTAGGGAGGAAGAAAATGGTTTGGTTTTAACACTCTGTTCTTCTCTTAACCCTGGTGGTTTGTAATTTATCACTTCTGCCCAGCCTGTTTCCCTGGCTCTGGGAGTCTGCTAGATGTCACTGTTTTCTTCAGATCCTGACACTGACTACTAGAGATCAATACTTGCCAAAAATGTGGACGACATTTAGGGGGAAAAAAAAGCCTTTTGTTTTTTTTTTTTTTTAGATGGAGTCTCGCTCTGTTGCCCACGCTGGAGTGCAATGGCACGATCTCAGCTCACTGCAACCTCTGCCTCCCGGGTTCAAGCAATTCTCTGCCTCAGTCTCTCAAGTAGCTGGGATTACAGGTGCCCACCACTATGGCTGGCTAACTTTTTTGTAGTTTTAGTAGAGATGGGGTTTCACCATATTGGCCAGGCTGGCCTTAAAGTCCTGACCTCGTGATCCACCCACCTCGGCCTCCCAAAGTGCTGGGATTACAGGCGTGAGCCACCGCACCCTGCCAAAAAAAACTTAAACCTTTTTTGTTTTTTTTAAAACAACTTAAAAAAAACTTAAACCATTAAAGTTTAAAGAAAAAAGCATTTTGACAAATGAAACTTGGGAGGAATGGTAATATAGTTCTTATTTTTAAAACTTTTCGAGTTAAAGGTTTAAAAGTCAAAAATTTAGCAAGTTTGGGAGCATAGACTTTCCTCTTACTTCCCACACCCTGAGCCTTTTGAGCCATCTCTTGTTTTTAGTCTCTACATGAAATTAAGAAGGTGCTAATGCTAGTGACCTCTCTGGGCCAATGCCTGGTTTGGAGGAAGGAAAGCATCTTTTGTTCTAGAGCAAGAGTGTCCAACTTTTCATGGTGATCCACATGATCAGAAATCCAATTGTTTATGGTAACAGCGAAGTCCAGAAGGTCCTCCCTCTACTGGTGAATACTGAACATGACTCATGCATGAGTCAGGTACATATGGACGCTTTCATTCCATTTTCCTCTTGTCAGCATCCTTCAGAATGCTCTAGTTTCATGGTGTCATTTTAGCAGAATTAAATGTGAACACCTCATCTGTATCATGCATTACTTTCGGCTTTACTCACACTTACAAACTGATCCAAAGCTGTGGATTTGCATCTTGGAGCAGGGGTCAGTGCACAATGGCATCAATGACCGCAAGAATTAACGAGGCTTTAATGACCTGCCCGAGTTGGCTAATCCTGCAAGCCGCCACTTGTTAAAATTTCGACATGCACTTAATCCGTAGGTCAGGATGGCCAAAAAGGACCAGCCCTTCCCCCTCAAGCAGCAGGCCAGAAGCAGGAGGCTTGGGTTTTAGATCAAATGTTAGCGAGAGGAAGCCACAATGTGGGGTCCCCCAGATCACCTCCTTTTCTTTCTGATCAGACTGACCAAAAATCACAGATTGCCTTGACCGTTCTGTGACCCAGCCAGCTGCAGGTTTTCCCCAGCAGGCTTGAACTCAAACCAGGGCCTTGAACACTCCCAGGCACTAATAAAGGTATCTAGGTTGTTGCCCAAAACGTTGAAAGAAACTGGCTCCAGCCCTGAGTCAAATTCCCTAAACCCTCATATAAACTCCATACCCTGACCCCCTTGCTACAGACATGCTTAGGCAGAACATCCCTTTTCCCTCCCTGTCGGCAGGGAGGATTGCTGCAGTCCTCTGTAAGTTCCCCTAATAAATGCTTTGAATTGATCACCCTGACATCTGGGCTTCTTTCTTTGGAATCCCAATTGGCCCCATCTCTGGAGGGTTTGGGCCACTCCCTGTGGGAATTTCCCTGCTGCTGCTTTTGGGATGATTCCAGCTGGGAGTTTGGTGAGATGAAACATGCAGGGCTGGCATGGAATTCTTTTGTCTCCTCTTGTAGAAACAACAGGGACCCTCAGAGACAGAAAAATACCCAGAGCTCCTCTTTGAGAGCTGGTACAAACTGTCTCTTTGGTGCAGGGTAGTGGTGGCTCATAAAAACCCACTCAATTTTGGTTTTAAAAAAATCTTCTTCAGAACTTCAGAGTAGGTAGTAATTAACACAAGAATATGTAATTTCTGATATGAGTGGACCACCCAGAATGTTTCTAATTCATCCACTCCTCTGGTCCCCAGTTCCTTGTCTTCTTAGGAAAATTTCCTCTTTTACATCCATCTGTACCTAACGGTTCATGCTTTGCCCTGACTCCCGCTGTGTCTTACCATGTTTGTGTTCTTATGTTTCTCACTCTCAGCCTCTCTTCCCTTTCTCTCCTTCCTGTCTCTCACAGCTTCCTCTGTCCCCAATGCTTTCTGCATCTTTTGTGCCAGGTGCTCTTTTCCTTTCTCTCCACCTCTGTCTTTCCAGGAGTCTTTGCAGAGCTCTCTCTATGTAGGCTTCCTCACGCCTGACGATTTCTTGGGCCTCTGTACCTCAGCTCTCCATGCCCACCGCTTATCCTCAGTTGGCCTCGTTCCCCTGATGCCCTGAATATTCCCAGACCAAATACTCACCACAATGAAGCCCAATCCAACAAAGAGCACAACAGTGACTGTGGTTGCAGCCAGGGATATGAGGATAATTCCCATGGGTGTCAGGAGCCTGGTGGGTTTCACTGCTGTGACTGAAGTAGTTCACAGAAGGTGAGTGTCACCATGTTTAGTGGTTTCATCTTCTGTGGTCCCTGGGTCTGCAGTGACGGAGTCCTCGGTGGTCCCTGGGTCTGCAGTGATGGAGTGTTTGGTGGTCCCTGGGTCTGCAGTGACAGAGTCCTCAGTGGTCCCTGGGTCTACAGTGATGGAGTGTTTGGTGGTCCCTGGGTCTGCAGTGACGGAGTCCTCTGTGGTCCTTGGGTCTGCAGTGATGGAGTCCTTGGTGGTCCCTGGGTCTGCAGTGACAAAGTTCTCAGTGAGTGGTCCCTGGGTCTGCAGTGACAGAATCCTTGGTGGTCCCTGGGTCTGCAGACACATAGTCCTTGGTGGTCGCTGGGTCTGCAGTGACAGAGCCCTCGGTGGTCCCTGGGTCCACAGTCACATTGTCCTCAGTGGTCCCTGGGTCTGCAGTGACAGAGTCCTCGGTGGTCCCTGGGTCTGCAGTGATGTGGTCCTCAGTGGTCCTTCCATCTGCAGTTACATCATTTTCTCTTATTCTTGAGTCTTTAGGGCTGGTCTCTGGGTGCTTAGTGGAAATGCTTTGGCTTAGTCCTACTAAAAAGTAATCTCATTTAATGTGAATTGTTGATGGCCTATCCTCATCTGCTCTGCTCAGTATTTTCATAACTATCCTCACATCCAAATGACACCTCTCCCCAGGTAATGTGGTGAGATTTATTCCAGTTAGGGATCATTTGGCATTTTTGGTTTAATTCTGGTAAAACATATTCCACAAAGAATCCTCTTGCACTACAATATGGATTATCTTTGCTGAGCCACGCCCTTCGAAGGCCTGCTCACCCAGCTTTGACTCTGTCTTTTCCAGGTCTGGTCTCTTTCCGTGGGACACTAAACCTGACTCTTTCTCAAGCTCACTCCTCTCTGAACTGGTGTTTCAGCAATTGGGGTATTCTGGCTCCATGTTCATAGGTGTCTCCTCTCATCCATTTGTGCCTGCGGTTCTGGCAAACCAATGAGGCAGAAGCTGTGATTCATGTTAGAGATTACACTCAGGTCATGCTTGGTATATGATTTAAAATGAGACAGCTGGCCAGGTGCTCCATCTCAAAAAAGGAAAAAAAAAGCATGAGACAGCTTCTGGGTCAGATCTGGGGCTAACGTGGTAGGCTTGGAGGCAGGGAAGATTCAAGGTGGTATGGGGGCAGGCTTAGGGGAGGAGTCATGAGGGGTGTGGGTGTGATCTAGTTGGACTGAGGGCAACACTGAGTCAGGTATAAGTACAAAGAAGAGATGAGTCCTCTTCGTCTCCAGCCCTCACTGCCCCAGGCAGCCGTCAGGACTTGGGAGTATTCTTATTCTTAGGAATACATGTAGCTTACATGGCATAAATTTTGAACTTTTGGTACTCTGCCCAAATCTAGTCATCCCTCCCTACTGCTGACGCTCCACATTTTTCTAATAGGGTTCAAGTCTTCCTTCCTTCCTTCCTTCCTTCCTTTCCCTCTCTCTCTCTCTTTTTTTTTTTTTTCTTTGAGACGGAGTCTCCCTCTGTCATCCAGGCTGGAATGCAATAGCGCGATCTCCACTCACTGCAACCTCCACCTCCCAGGTTCAAGCGATTCTCCTGCCTCAGCTTCTCAAGTATTTGGGATTACAGGCGTGCGCCACCAGACCCAGCTAATTTTTGTATTTTTACTAGAGACTGGGTTTCACCATGCTGGCCAGGCTGGTCTCAAACACCTGACCTCAGATGACCCACCCGCCTCAGCCTCCCAAAGTGCTAAGATTACAGGCATGAGCCACTGCACCTGACCGTTTCTTTCTTTTCTTTCTCTTTTTCTTTCTCTCTTTTGACACAGGGTCTTGTTCTGTGATTCAGGCTAGAGTTCAGTAGCACAATCATGGCTCAATGCAGCCTTGGCCTCCTGGCCTCAAGTGATCCTCCCACCTCAGCCTCCCGAGTAGATTAGACTACAGGCATGGGCTACCACGCCTGGCTGATTTTTTTGGTTTTTGTAGAGATGGTGTCTCACTATGTCGCCCAGGCTTGTCTCAAACTCCTGGGCTCAAGGGATCCCACTCCTTCTCATCCTCCCAAAGCGCTGGGATTAGAGGAGTGCCAAATTTTTCATTTCTCCAGGAAAGTTGAAACAAAGAAACTTAAATAAAATGCACAAAATCAAAAGCAGAGCATTTCCTTAAAAGGGGATATGAGAAAGACGCTGGGGTCCCTGCTTCCCTGTGGCAGGTGATTGAGGGTAGATAACAGGGTCCGGAGTTCCCAAGGTTCACTCACCTATTCCGTACCTTCGCTCGGGACTGGCCCTGTCTGAGTCCCAAGAGGCTCCTTCTCCAGGGACCCTGACTCCATCTCTCCAGGTCCCGGGGACTTTTGCATCCTTCTCACCAAAATTAACTCCTCCACCCCGTTCTGAACACCTCAGGAGAAGCAGGAGCAGCAGAAGGGGGACGTAGCGGGGCATTTTCTTCTCATCTCAAGAGAATCCACATGGTGCTAGCCAGGACACCTTTTCCTCCCTCCTTCTCTCAAACTTTTTCCACCCTGCCCTTCTCCTTCCACCCGCAGTGGCTGTGGGTTTATATGTGCTTTGCCGAGGGAAGCCAGAGCTCCGGGTCTTCCTTCCTGGAGGGAGGAGCAGCTTCTCAATTACCCCCTGTCACTCAAAGGAGTGGCCGGGCAGGGCAGAAGAGGCTGTCATGAGGGGAAGGGGGGCTCTCAGCTTTGGACCAGAGCCCAGAGTCGAGCAGCCACAGGGGATCAAGCCTGTCAGCGTGAGTGCACTGCTTTCTGATGTGGAGCCTAGTTGAAAACCATCCTCCACCCGGTGTTTCAGTGCTCAGGGAGGGCCTCGGCCTTCCTTCCCACAGGTGGCCACAGTAAAGTCAGGATGACCAAGGAGGGCATAGGCCAGGCCTGCCTGGGGGATGATGCTTGGCAAGAGGAGAGCTGGGTGTCAGAGGGTAGAGGACATTTGGTAAGGACCAAGAGAAGGTCCTCCAACAGAAGGAGAGGAACACTCACGAGGGGGCTAAAACACCCAATCTCTCTGTCTCTTAAAACCTCGCTCTTTGCTCAATCATCCACCCAAATCCTCTTCCTTGGCTTCTCTCCAGCCCACGGATCTCTCTCCTTGCTCCCCCTGCTCGAGTGCCCTCACCCCAGTGAGCTTTCTCAATTACTGCATGTATTAGTCTGTTTTCACGCTGCTGATAAAGACATACCCAAGACTGGGAAGAAAAAGAGGTTTAATTGGACTTACAGTTCCACATGGCTGGGGAGGCCTCAGAATCACGGAGGGAGACAAAAGGCACTTCTTACACAGTGGCGGCAAGAGAAAATGAGAAAGAAGCAAAAGCGGAAACCCCTGATAAACCCATCAAATCTCATGAGACTTATTCACAGTCATGAGAATAGCAAGAGAAAGATGATTGGCGAAAAGAGAAAAACTCCCCACAGCATGAGGGGAATTGTGGGAGCTACAATTCAAGTTGAGATTTCTGTGGGGACAGAGCCAAGCCATATCACTGCACAAAATTAGTCCACTTGTGGTGAGGTCAGGCCTGAATGAGAATACCCACATCTTTTCCTCCTTCTCTGACCCTTATCCCTGCCTTGCCCACTCTTTAGAAGATCATTGTTGGTTCCCATCTTCATTCAGAGATGTCTCTCACCATTTGTGGGGCCTCTCTCTTTCCCAGTGTCCTTCTAACTAAAAGAGGAGTGTGAAATTGCAGGTGGGCCGGGAATTGTTCCTCTCTTAGAAGGCAGCTGATTTCCTGAAAATCAATTTAATGAATGGCTAGTTTACCACATGTAACTGACTATGTTAACTACTAGTATTATTTGAATGTATTAAATATTTTCTCTTTTCCTTCCTTCCTTCCTTTCTTTCTTTCTTTCTTTCTTTCTTTCTTTCTTTCTTTCTTTCTTTCTTTCCTTCTTTCTCTTTCTCTTTCTCTCTCTTTCTTTCTTTTTGACAGGGTCTTGCTGTATTGCCCAGGTTGGAGTGCAGTGGTGCTATCACGGCTCACTGCAGCCTCGATCTCCCAGGCTCAAGTGATCCTTCCACCTCAGCCTCCGGAGTAGCTGGGACTATATGCATGCACCACCATGCCCAGCTGATTGTTTTTTTATTTTTAGTAGAGACAAGGTCTCACTATGTTGCCCAGGCTGGTCTCGAACTCCTGAGCTCAAGAGATCCTCCCTCATCAGCCTCCCAAAGTGCTGGGATTACAGGTGTGAGCCACATCACCCAGCAACATTTTCAAACATAGTATTTAAACACACTCAAAAGAATTTGTATGTATTTAGTATAACTAATGAATAGATTTCAAAAGAGTATAGTAAGGAAAATATCTGATTTTCTAAGTCAAGAGGTATAATTTGCATATGATAAAATTCACCCTTTTTCATGTACAGGTCAATAGAATTTTTTTGGTTTGGCTTTGTTTTAGAATTTTTAAAACTTCATTTTGAGATAATTTTAGACTTACAGAGAATTACAAAAATAATTAACAGAGTTCCCGTATATTTTTCCCCTAGCTTTTCCTCATGTCAATATCTTACATAGTACAATTATAGAAACTGAGAGATTATATATACAATTATAGAAGCTAAGAAGTTATTGTTGGTACAATACTATATATATTTTTTTGAGACAGAGTTTCACTCTTGCTGCCCAGGCTGGAGTGCAATGGCACGATCTCAGCCCACAGCAACCTTCCCCTCCCAGGTTCAAGTAATTCTCCTGCCTCAGCCTCCCGAGCACCCGGGATTACAGGTGTGTAATCCTAATGGTGATAGATTAGATTCCTTCTACATTTATTAATTGAAATTCTTCTGTAAGAAAAAGTCGTGCCCTCTCCCCATTTTATTTATTCAACTATTTGTTTATATCAGAATGGACTCATAAATGTTTATTTTGTTCTGTGAGTTATGATCCAATACTATCACTATTTATTTTGTTGCTCAAACTTTGGCCACTGGGAGCTCTTTCAGATGGGCTCCAGTGCCGTTTTAATGTCCTCCATCCTTTTTTTGTTTTGTTTTATTTATGAGACAAGACTTCACTGCGTTTCCTAGGCTGAATTGCAGTGGCATCATCATACAGCCTCAAACTCCTGGGCTCAAGGGATCCTCCTGCCTCAGCCTCCTACAAGTAGCTAGGACTACAGGCATGCACCAGCACACCCAGCTGATATCTCCATTGCTATTTTGTTTTGTTTTTTGAGACAGGGTCTCACTTTGTTGCCCATGCTAGAGTGCAGTGGTGCAATATTGGCTCACTGTAATCTCCGTATCCTGAGCTCAACTAATCCTCCCACCACAGCCTTCCAAGTAGCTGGGACAACAGGTGTGCGCCACCACACCCAGCTAACTTTTTTTTTTTTTTGTAGAGACAAAGTTTTGTCATATTGCTCAGGCTGGTCTTAAACTCCTGGGCTCAAGCAATCCACTTGTCTTGGCCTCCCAAAGTGCTGGGATTACAGGCTCAAGCCACTGTGCCCAGCCTCTCCATCCGTGGTATTTTGTTTTTTTGTTTTTTTTGTGTGAGATGGAATTTCGTTCTCGTTGCCTAGACTGGAGCGCAATGGTGCAATCTCGGCTCACTGCAACCTCTGCTTCCTGGGTTCAAGTGATTCTCCTGCCTCAGCCTCCCAAGTAGCTGGGATTACAGGCATGCACCACCATGCCCAACTAATTCTGTATTATTTTAGTAGGGAGAGTTTTCTCCAAGTTGGTCAGGCTGGTCTCCAACTCACGAACCTCAGGTGATCCCCGGGCCTGGGCCTCCCAAAGTGCTGGGATTACAGGCATGAGACACTGTGCATGGCCCTCTCCATCCCTTTTTAAAACACTTTCTTGCATTCTGGTATTACAAGATGCTTCATGCTCATTTTTTATTTTGTCCATCCAGGCCCTGGAATCAACTATTTCTCCACAGAGCTCTGGCTCCTCTTTGTATTAGAGAATAATATTTAGAAACCAAGATTTGGGTACTAGGTGTGCTCATTCATAGTGGGTGTCACTGCTTCTTGCCCCCACGGAAGTTAGAGCTAGGAAACGTATGTATGTAAACTAACTCATGCATAAACACAGGTCTGTATTTATTTCTGCAATTACCTGTCTGCATATACAGATTGAATCCCTTATCTGAAATGTTTGAGACCGTAAGTGTTTTGGATTTTCAATTTCTTGGATTTCGAAATATTTGTATATACACAATGAGATATCTTGTGGATGAGACCCAAGTCTAAACATGAAATTTGTTTATGTTTTATATATATCTTATACATGTAGCCTGAAGGTAACTTTACGTGATATTTTAAATAATTTTGTGCATGAAACAAAGTTTGTGTATGTTGACTTGTGGTGTCATGTTGGTGCTCAGCAAGTTTTGGATTTTGGAGCATTTTGGATTTTCAGATGAGGGTTGCTCAACCTGTGTTTTAAACACAAGCATGGGTGCATTTTGACACCTCCAGCTTTAATCCAGCAACATGGGGTTCATTCTAGTCTCTCCCTTTTCTTTATTTGTAACTCCTTTCTCTGACATGGCTACGAATGTCTATAAACATATTTTTTTACTTATTTTTTCAACCCTAATAAACAAATAGTGGTTTCAGAACTGCTAATTCATACCCTTGCCAGAAACACATTTACCAACTACAGTACAGTGTTTCTGTATTTTTTTTTTTTTTTTGTCTTTAGCTTTATGGTCAAAACACAGTTTTTCTTTTCTTTTTCTTTTTTAAATTTGAGACAGGGTCTTGCTCTGTCACCCAGTCTGGGGTGCAGTAGCACTGCAGCCTTGATCTCCTGGACTCAAGCGATCCCTCCATCCTAGCCTCCTGAGCAGCTAGGACTACAGGCACACCATCATGCCCAGCTAATTTTTTTAACTTTTTGTAGAGGCGGGGTTCTCGCTGTGTTGCTGAGGCTGATCTCAAGCTCCTGGACTCAAACAAGCCTCCTGCCTTGGCCTCCCAAAGTGGTAGGATTACAGGCATGAGCCACCATGCCTGACTCAAAACAGTTTTTCAAAGTTACTTAGGCCAGCTCCTTCTTCTCCATCCGTTTCACTGTGCTTACATGAGTCATTTGTCAGAGTCTGCTTTCCATCTTTCCCTCCACATCCTGGTTGATTTGCTGAATTTCCATACCCTAAAAATCACTTTTTGTAGTGTACAGTTCTATGGATTTTGATAAATGGTAGAGTCACATATTCGGCGCACTGAATCCCTTCATCCTCCTCAATCTCCCCCCATGCCGTTCCTTTAGAGCCAACCCTTCTCCCACTTCCCAAACCCTGGCAACATGGATCTTGTTTCTTTCCCTATAATTTTGCCATTTTCAGAATGTCATATGAAGGGAATCGTATAGTCTGTAGCCTTATAGTTTTAGATATAATTTATATACTATTCATAGGAATCATATTTGCAATTATTCATCAGAGTCAAGAATAAATAATTTTTTCTTGCACATATTTTTGAATAAAGTCTTTCATGTGAAAATTGTTATAAATAAATATATTTATCTTGAGTATTTTCTTAACTAGAAAACATGCTATAAATCAAGAAGACATTCCCCAGTCTCCCTCTGTCTCCCAGCCTCCAGCCTGCAGCAGGAGGGAATCACACTGAATAGGATTTAAACAAAATTTAAAAATTCAAAGAATTAGTCATTTGATGAATTAGTTTTAAGAAAATTGCCTAGAGCTCGTTAGATGAAGACCTCCCTAAAACAGGACTTTTAACAAAAGTCACCATAAATTCTGGAGTTGGGGATTTTTAAAAAAGTGCTAGGCAGAAATCTCTTGAAATTCACATTTCTTCTCGTTTTCGTTTTTTTTTTTTTTTTTTTTTTTTGAGACAGGGTCTCACTCTGTTACCCAGGCTGGAGTGAGTGGCACAATCACAGCTCAGTGAAGGCTTGACCCCCTGGGCTCAAGTTATCCTCCCACCTCAGCTGGGACTACAGGTGTGCACCACCACACCTGGCTAATCTTTTTAACTTTTTGTAGAGACAGGACCTCACTCTGTTGCCCAGGCTGGTCTCAAACTCCTGGGCTCAAACAGTTTTCCCACTTTGGCCTCCCAAAGTGTTAGGATTACAGGCATGAGCTACTGTGCCCAGCCTCCACTTCTTTTCTTCTTTCCCATTTCCATGTTTTGTGGTCTTAGATTTGTCTATTTGCTTCTTTCTTTGCAGGGGCATTACAACACCATTTTTGCTGGTTTCCAGCCTCTATTTTCTACTCACTCAGCTGATTGAAGTGTTCTTATTGGGGAAAAAATTGTGTCCCACTACACCTTAAAGTGATCTGTGGGCTTTGTGCTGTTAAAGGATGAAATCTGGCCTCCTTGGAGTGGTGTTCAAAGCCACGCATTAGCCCCCAGCCCCAGCTCCCTCTGCTGTGCTCTCCAGCCCCACAGGTCTTCTGACCTTCACTGGCCGTGCCATGCCCAGTCTTGCACAAGCTGCTTGCTTGCCTGGCATTTCCTCTTCTGCTCCTCGTAAATGCCTGCTAACTCCTCAAAATCCAAATGTCACCTTCTATGTGAGTCAGCCTCTCCTCCCCTCATCAAGTTAGATGTTTCCTCCTGTGGTGCTTCCATTCATACTACTTGATGCGTTGGCCTGTAACTTATGTACCTCCCTCACCCAACTGTGACCTACAGGGCCATCCTAGCTGCCCCAGCTCCTTGAGACCTCATGCCAAGCAGGTGTCCAGTAAATATGGTGAATGAATGAATGAAAAAATGAGTGCAAAAGATGATAATTATTTTACGAAAAGGTCTGGGGGCTCTTAAAACTGAAGAGGAGATAATGGATACACTGATAAATATCTTCAAGGTATTATTTTAAAACCCTAATATAAAAATAAAAATTAAAAAATCCCAAAATAAAAAACCCGAATATACATTTTTTCTTCCTATTGAGGTAAAATTTACAAAAAGTGAAATGCACAGATCTTAAGAATTCAGTTAGTGGAGGTTTCTTGTTTTGTTTTGTTTTTTTGAGACAGGGTCTCACTCTGTTGCCCGGGTTGGAGTGCAGTGGCACCATCACGGCTCACTGCAGCCTTGACCTCCTGGGCTCAAGCAATCATCCCACCTCAGCCTCCCAAGTAGCTAGAACTACAGGTGTGCATTACTATACCCGACTAATATTTGTATGTTTTGTAGAGATGAGGTCTTGCCATGTTGCCCAGGCTGGTCTCAAACTCTTGGGCTGAAGCAATCCTTTCACCTCAGCCTCCCAAAGTGCTGGAATTACAAGCGTCAGCCACCACACCCAGCTGTTAGCTGAGTTTTGACAAGTGTATTTACCTGTGTAACCAACAGACCAGTTGATATAGAAAACATTCCTATCACCCAGAAAGTGCTCCCTTCCTAAAAACCCTCACCCTCATAGGAGATCTGATCTCTGCCACCATAGATTAGTTTTGCCTATTGTTGAATTTCATGCAAATAAATTGTACAGTAGATACTCTCTTGCATCTGTTAAAAATAGATTTTGTTGTTGTTGTTATGTTTTTTGTTTGTTTTGTTTTGGAGACAGAGTCTTTCTCTGTTGCCCACAGTGGAGTGCAGTAGCGCAATCTCTGCTCACTGCAACCTCCGCCTCCCAGGTTCAAGCAATCCTCCCACCTCAGCTTCCCGAGTAGCTGAAACTACAGGCATGTGCCACCACACCCGGCTAATTTTTGTATTTTTAGTAGAGACGGGGTTTTGCCATGTTGGCTGGGCTGGTTTTGAACTCCTGACCTCAGGCGATCCGCCCGCCTCAGCCTCCCAAAATGCTAAGATTACAGGCATCATGAGCCACCGCACCCAGCCTAAAAACAGTTTTGTTCATCATATTGTAAAATGTTCTTAGAGAAACAGCTTGGTCCTGTTAAGGCTCTCCCAAAGACCCAGGAGAATCCCAGAAGCTGAAGAGACTTAGCAGAGGGTGAAACTGATAAAGCAGAGGCGAGTGATTCACAGGGAGGAAGAATCAGTGGGGTGCGTGTGCGAGAGCAAGTTGCACCAGAAGCCTGGGTGGGACCAGGCCTGAGCATGGTGCTGACACTGGCATGTGTGCCCTCTGAGGCCTGGTTTTGGGGGAGCTGCTGAGGATCTAGACCGTAGCAGGGCAAGCCAGTCCTGCCCTTGCAAAAACTGGGAGCACATTCTCCCTGCCCAGGACAGTTGCTGGGCTGGGAGCCCACAGGAGAGAAAGGTGGCAACTCACACCTGCAGCCCAGAGCAGACGTGAGTGGCCAGGAAAAGTGGCCATGTCTAAGGGTGGCCCCAGTAGCAAGCTCTTTCCTACCTCACAACATGAAAACAGGATCACTTTCCTCCAGTTCATGTTCTAGGCTCACGCAGAGGCTGTTTTCCTGCCATGCAACACACGTCTGTAAAGACCAGCACCTGCCTTCCCCCATCTCTCCTGACTCCATTCTTCCATCGACCCAGAGGCCTCGGGGAGCAGGGAAGGAGTGGGGAAGAAAATGGGACAGATGTGAGGTCTCTGGATTTCATGCTAGGATTTGAGAACTGGGAGTACACAGCGAAAGAGTGTCCTCATGATATAGGAAACCTCTCTTCACAGCAATATACAAGCACACACCCACAGTCTGGCTGTCACATAGAGCAGATGCACTTATTTAATCATTCAGCACTAGCGATAGCCTCCTGTTTCAGGTCTGGGAGAACTAAACAGAAGGTAGGAGTGTCAGGGGCTGGAGCAGAGCTGGGAGGAGCAGCCCTGGGGGCAAGTGAGGAAAACCGAGACCGCTGGTCCTCCCCACCCTGAGGACAGTGAAGTGCCTGCCTTTAGGGATACTGTGTCTCCTCATCAGCTCCATGCCTGTGGGAGAACACTGGTCTCTAAAATCCGTTTCAGTCTCACTTGACCCATCTTGGACTCCATGATATCCTTGAGGACATGGACCAAGGTTTGGGATGTGAAGATCTTTGGTGAAGAGGTTTCTTAGGCACAGAGAGTTTCTCTAGAAAACAAAAGGATGGATCGTTCAGAGTTATGCCCCTCTTCCAGTGCTCTCCCATCCCACGTGTCCCCACTCCCCATTCGGCCTCCCCAGCCTCAGTACTCCTTTGGCCCCTTCTCTCCTCATCAATTTCCTCTGAACATGTACCAGCTTTTCTAGCCCTCTCTCTTGCTGGTTCTCACCTGCTGTCTCTGTCTTGCTTTGTCCCTCTCCTGATTTCTCATTCCCTATTAGCCACACAATGACCCTACTCTCTCTACCCTGCTTCCCTCCTCAGTTCCCTGCACTCCCTCCCTCAGAAAAAGGATTTCCCACACATCAGGCACTCATGAAATAAAAGAGCCCTGTGAAGAGAATCACAGCCATTGCAACCAAGGCCAGAGTGACTAGGATGACTTCCCACAGCCTCAGGCATCCATTAGACCTTCCCTCATTCCCTGGAGGGGCTGCACTTGTGCTGGTGACACTGGAGGTTGCAGTTGTTGTGTTAGTTCCACTGGAAGATATAGTGGACCCAGGGCAGGGGGGTTGTAGTGATTCCACTGGGAGGTGTGGTTGGTCCAGGGGGCGTGGTCACGGTGATTCTGCTGGATAATGTGGTTGATCCTGGAGGGGTGGTCACAGTGATTCCACTGGAAGGTGGGGTTAATCTGGGGGGATGATCGTGGTGATTTCACTGGAAGTTACAGCTGGTTAAGAAAGGGTGGCTGGTTGGCTCCACTGGAAATTTGGTTTTGTTCACCGCTACCGCTACTATGAGTAATACTAGTGATAATAATAGTGGCTGTCATTTAAGAATGCTCACTATATTCCAGGCACTGTGCTAAGTGCCACATATAAATTAGTACTAAAATCCTTACAATACCTCCTTGAGATAGAAACTAATATTACCCCCATTTTATAGATAGGTAAATTGAGGTTTAAAGAAGTTAAGCAGCTAGTTCCAGGTCAGACAGTTAGTAGGTAGTGGAACAACGATTTAAATCAAGGCAGTCTGACCCCAGAGCTAGCCCCTAAAGCCCTTAACCCATGCATTATTCCATATCCCAGGTATGGGGGAGTTACAAGACCAGGGTTTACAGGGGATGGTGTTATTCTTTTAACTATTCATGATACTCTCCGACTAAAGAACGTAAGAGAAAAGTTGAAGGCCCATCAAGCTCCTCTCCAAACAGTATTGTGCCCTTCCTCTAGGGGGCAGATAATCAAGGGGAATCGGTTTGGGAGGGGACCATGATGTGCATTTTTACTACATCGGGTAATTCTTCTGAACACAAAAGTTTGGGGCTGGGCGCAGTGGCTCACACCTGTAATCCCAGCACTTTGGGAGGCCAAGGCAGGAGGATCACTTGAGGCCAGGAGTCTCGACCAGCCTGGACAACATGGAGAAACCCTGTCTCTACTACACATACAAAAAAATTAGCCAAGCATGGTGGTGCAAGCCTGTAATCCCAGCTACTCGGGAGGTTGAGGCACGAGAATCGCTTGAGCCTGGAAGGTGGAGGTTGCAATGAGCTGAGAGCACGCCACTGCACTCCAGCCTGGGCGACGGAGCAAGACTCTGTCTCAAAAAAAAAAAAAAATTGTTTGGGAGCCACTGGTTTAAGGGACCCCAGATGGTCTTGACACATGGACTAGTAAAGAATCAGTCATGTCAGCTTGAAGAAATAAGATCTTCTGGGATTCAGGAAAGTGGCTCAGCTTTCTTGTTGGATCAGTTAGAGTTAAGGTGAGACTGAGCTTCTTTCCCTGTCATGCCTATTTTCTACCCTGTTCTGATTTTCCATCCCATTAACAACCAAGCCCTTGACCTCCCAGATCCCTATAGACCCTCTCCTCATCGATGGCCCTGTTCTCTCCCTGGATGTAGGTGCTGCCCTTCACCCTCCACATATGTTCTTGCCTTGGTGTTGTCTGGACTAACATAAGGATTGCCAATTTAGATTTGAGGGAAGAATCCCAAAACTGTGTGTCGATGCCTTAGGTTAGGGTCAGAGCCAAGAGAGAAACTAAGTGAGAAGTTGAGATGAAAAGCTGGCCTGTGGAGAGGGAATAGACTGGTTTTGTGTTGGTCTGGGGCATAAAACACAAGAGTCAAAGCCATGCTGGGGCAGATTCTAGAGAGAATTAAATCTGCGTGAGTGTGGAACAGCAATGTCTCATGAAGTGTTTAATTAGAGGCTAGATGACTGCTGTCACAGACGCTGGAAATAGATCCCTGCCTATTACAGGTGGTCAGACACTAATTCAAGTTCTCTTCCAACTCTAATGCGCCTATATCTGGGAATGATGTGTTATAGAGTAAATAGGTCCATCTTCTGGGCAGAAGAGTTGCCACTGAGAACAGAACGGAGGACAGATGCTGGGTTGCATTGGAGAGAAAGAAGCAAAATAATCATCCCTCCTGCCTTGAAGAGAATGGGGGCAACAAGGACAGAGTGTGTGTCCCAGAAGTTGTCAACATTTTCCCCAAACTCTACTCAAACTCCAAGATTATTCTCTTTTAAACAAAATCACTCACCATTTCCTAAAAGTAGAAGGAAGTGAAACAGCCAGCATGCAAGGGAAAATTGCTTTCTCTTTCTTTTGAGATAGTCTGCCTGTGTGAGGCTGGAAGGGAAGGCTCCTCCCTTAGTCCCGATGGGATTAAGCCTTAGAAGGGAAAGGCAGAAAATGAGAATCTTGAGGGTGGAGTCTCAAGGTGGAGATCTGAGGGCTGGACTACTAGGAATTCGGAACTCCAAAGAATAGGTCCTCAATCTGAAGAGAAGCACCGCTAGGGGGACCTGGGCTACAGGGGAAGCTGGATGTCTGGTCCTTGATGTTCCTTCACAGAATGCCACCTCTTCTTTTTCTCTTTCAAAGAAGGCCTTTAGGGCGGGTACAGTGGCTCATGCCTGTAATCCCAGAACTTTGGGAGGCCAAGATAGGCAGATTACGAGGTCAGTAGTTCGAGACCAGCCTGGCCAACATAGTGAAACGCCATCACTACTAAAAATACAAAAATTAGCTTGGTGTGGTGGCACATGCCTGTAGTCCCAGTTGCTTGGGAGGCTGAGGCGGGAGAATCGCTTGAGCCCAGGAGGCAGAGGTTGCAGTGAGCTGAGACCACGCCATTGCACTCCAGCCTGGGCAACAGAGTGAGACTCCATCTCAAAAAAAAAAAAAAAAAAAAAAAGGAAGAAGAAGAAGGCCTTTAAAGCATCATCTGGACTGGGCAAGGCCTGGACATGTAGGCTGTTGTTCTTCCAGCTGTGAGCAGTGGCAGAATCCCCAAGCTTAGAGAGGAGGGTACAGCAGCCAGAAGGTAGGTGAGGGTGGAGGATGACTTAGTCCCATTAGGAAGGGCCTGGGGAGGAGTGGGAAGTGGAATAGTTCAAGGGGATCAAGGCTGTCAAAGTGGAGGGGCTCCACCCTCTGAGGCAGGGATGGGGCAGAAAACCTGCTCTAGTTGGAGGCCTCCTTTCCTGGACAAGAAGTCCTGAGAACCCAGTATAGCTGGGCAGGAGCAGGTGTGTGAGAAGGAAGCCCCTGCAAACAGAGCTTAGCAGGTAGGGCACAGGAAGTGAGATCCCTGTGAATAGGCACTGGAGACTGGACCTCTGGGCATTGCTGAATAATTAGTAAGCCTGCAAAGCATACCTTGAATGAGGTGGGGAAGAGAGACCCGGGGGAGGGAAATAGACTCTGGGGTCTCCGCAGCGTGGGAGCTGGGGGTGGGAGAGTTGGGGGTGGTGGTGTGAGCTGTTGAGGAGATGGAACCAATGGTGTACTGGGTCAGTGCATGCCTGTGTGCTAGAGCTCATTGCTGAATTTTCAGGATTTTTGGCAACACAGCCATCATTAAAAATTAACGTGTATTAACTTACAGTGAACTAAATTATATTTAAAACAAAGGTAAAAATGTTCCAAACTCATTACTTTCTAATTGCTTTACCACATTTTACTATTATCTCTGCGCACGGAGTTACGTACGCCTATCACATCTGCCTGGTGGGAATGGTATGGAATGGTGTGCCGCCCATCGCTTCCCATTCTATACACAGTGATTCACGCTGGTCACACGCAGTCAGCTCTGGCGGGTGCATTTGCGCCACGAGAAGTGAGTTGTTAAACATTTACCAGCACACACGCTGCAGGGGACCTAAGGAGAGTGATGGCACTGGAAAGAGGAATGCTCCTGCTTCTAATCCTCCTTGATAGAGGCGCTCCCCTTTTGTTTTTGAAGAATTTATAGAAGCTTTTCCACCGGGGAGCTTCAGCTAGGTCTTCTCATCAGTGCTGTGTGCCAGACAAGCCAGATGATCAAGGAAGTACCTACACTTTGGACACTGTCAGTTTGCCTGGGGACTGAGAGCTTACAGTCCAAGCTTGCTTCAACTCTGGCTGAGGCCAACAGAGAGAGCCCAAAGACAACTGAAGGAGCGGCAGAAAACAAAGATGGGAACGGGGTAATTGGCTTCCAGTTCCTTCATTCGCAGGTCATGAAAAAAACCTGGGGCTAGACTCCATGAGAGTTTTTTTGTTTTCTGTTTTGTTTGTCTGTTTGTTTGTTTGAGACTGAGTCTCGCTCTGTCACCCAGGCTGGAGTGCAGTGGCGCGATCTCGGCTCACTACAAGCTCCGCTTCCCAGGTTCACGCCATTCTCCTGCCTCAGCCTCCCGAGTAGCTGGGACTACAGGCGCCCGCCACCACGCCCTGCTAATTGTTTTGTATTTTTAGTAGAGACAGGGTTTCACTGTGTTAGCCAGGATGGTCTCGATCTCCTGACCTTGTGATCCACCCGCCTCAGCCTCCCAAAGTGCTGGGATTACAGGCGCGAGCCACCGTGCCCGGCCTGTTTTCTGTTTTTTTGAGACAGGGTCTTGCTCTGTTGCCCAGGCTGGAGTGCAGTGGCACAATCTTGACTCACTGCAACCTCCCAGGCTCAAGTGATCCTCTTACCTCAGCCTCCCAAGTAGCTGGGACTATAGGCATGTGTCACCACGCTTGGCTAATTTTTGTACTCTTTTGTAGAGCTGGGTTTTCACTATGTTGTTCATGCTGGTCTCAAACTCCTGGGCTCAAGTAATCCTCCTGCCTCAGCCTCCCAAAGTGCTGGGATTACAGGTGTGAGCCACTGCACCTGGCCACCAGGGGACTTCTTAAGCATCAAATCATTTCCTTCCAGCTTTTGGCTAAGTTTGAATTTGGAAAAGTTGCAGGAGAAAAACGTCAAATTATCTAGAGGGGAAAATATATTGGAGTATGTTCTAACAATATGATCCTAATTACTTATATCTACAAAAATGTTTAAATGGCCCTGATACAACATTTTTGGGAAAGGACAGCAGCACTTGGAGGGGCTAAAAAGGGATTTGCCCTACCTCCTCCAATCTCCATCTGGCCCCTTCAAAGCCACCTGAATATACATAAAACCTAATTTGAAACAATATGGTTGCTATACAAATACAGCTTTTATAAAAGACCCCTAAAAAGTATTTCCTTCCCTCCTTTGTAAGATATCCACAAATGAACAATCTAATGATACCTAATAATAGTTAGCTTTTATTGAGTATTCCATGTGCCAGACATTATTCAAAGTGTTTTACAGATATTAGTTTATTTAGTATTTATATTACTCTATGCTTAGGTGCCACAATCTCTGTTTTACAAATTTAAGATGCCTCAGTTCATCTTGCCCAGACTTGTAAAGCTAACAAGTGGCAGAATCAGGATTCATACTCAGGCAGTCTGACTCCTGTGCCACGTTCTTTCTTTTTTTTTGAGATGGAGTCTCGCTCCGTCACCCAGGCTGGAGTGCAGTGGCATGATCTCGGCTCACTGCAATCTCTGCTGCCCAGGTTCAAGCTATTCTCCTGCCTCAGTCTCCTGAGTAGCTGGGATTACAGGTGCATGCCGCCACACCCAGCTAATTTTTGTATTTTTAGTAGAGATGGGGTTTCACTTTGTTGGTCAGGCTGGTCTCGAACTCCTGAACTCAGGTGATCCACCTGCCTTGGCCTCTCAAAGTGCTGGGATGACAGGCGTGAGTCACTGTGCCCGGCCTGCCATGTTCTTAATCACTATAAAAAGAAGGCATCAATTACAAACATTGGTCCCAGCTGCCCCCTTGAAAATATTGCATGTACCTAAACCCCTCCCCCAGAGAAATTCTGGAGCTTCCACAGAAGCAGCAAAGGTTCAGCCAGGTTAAGTTTAAAATAAAACAGACGCAATATTTATCAGAAGGGACATTCCATTAGAATGAGTAAGTTAGAAGCAGGTTCTCCAGGCAAAGCTGACTGAAAGAGATCGTATTTTGATACATGTTTGGAGGGTCAGTGCTGACAACCGTGAAGGGACAGGATGCAGAGGCTAAGAGCTTAGAACTTCTGTCTTGTTTAGAGAATGACAGATTAATTTACCTCAGTATTAGAAATGTTAGGATGCAAACAGTTGCATACAAACAGAAAAATCACAAAGACACAGAGTAATTTTGGAATTGTATTAGTCTAACCTAGGGAAAAAAAAAAAAGAAAAGAAAGGTGGAGTCCTATTTAGGAATTGCCTGAACTCCAGATTCTCTCTGCCCTGTCCTTTAATTTTAGCATGTCCTAATTCAGATCGCTTTCAGACATCTAGACAGGTCGTCTGCTTTCTCTTCCTAGTTTTCATCTCCGATCTCCAGTTCCACTGCAGCCCTCCAGACTGCCAAGCTTAATGTGCACTTAGCACATTTAACGTGTTTCCACTCTCTCCCCTGGATGGCAGGGACCCCGATCCTGGGAACTACCTTTTCCAGGCTCCCTTGCCAGGAGGCTCCAGGCACATTTTACCTTCCTCCAGTGAAACAAACTCTCATGAGACTCAGTTCTGTGGCAGTAATGGCTGCATGCGTGCATGGCTTCCTGGGGGAGGATTTTGCGGTGGCCTCCGCATTTCCCTGCCTCTGGCACACTGTGGGGCTGTGGAGGAGTGGAGGAGCCTCAGCAGTTGCCTGCACGTCCCTGCCTCCGGTGACCGCAGATCTCTGCTCTCGGTGGCAGTGAACCTGAAAGCTATTGGCTGTCATCCTGACTTTCACTCCTCCACCTTTTCGAGCGGTTTTATAAGCACCTACTTCTTGTACTAAATCCTTTTATGCTTGAAATATCCAAAGTGGTTTCTGTTTTCATAAGTGAACTCTGACTGTTACAGTATTTGGTATAACAAGAGGTTTCAGAAAATTGACGTTCAAAGGTGGCAATCTGGGATTGGTTCCCTGACCCATTAGGCTTGAGGGCAGGGGCGACCTCATGCTAGTATAAAATGAAGTCTTTGTATTACACAGCAAAAGATAGAAAAAGTGACTTAAGTTATCACCTGTGGTGGTGCCTGGAATAAAGCAATTGTTGAAGGGAAGGGCCGGGAGCCCAGGTGGTCGCTGTGACAGATCGTGAAGCTGGGAGTGTTGACTGCCGGGACTGTGGGTGGCTGCACTGGGAGATTACAGAAAAAAAATGACCCCTCTGCTGCATCCTCAGTCAAGGCATTGCCAGCGAACACAGAGCTTTCTCTGAATATTCTAAAAGACATGCTTATCTCTCAAAGCCACAGGGACTATGTATGAAAAAACCAGACCCACAGTTTGATTCTGCAGATTGGAGAATTATATTCAACTTGCATTTATATCTTTGCCAGTCTCGTGTGTGACATTTGGAATATTTGTTAACGGAAGCCCAGAATTGGAGTGGAGACACCTGGGTAGATTTTGATGAGTCTGAAAAACTTTGAACCTCCAAATCCCGCAGAGCTTTCCTTGCCAGCAGAAGTAGCCCCTCCTCCCCTCTGTGAGGAAGTCACTTTCTCTTGCCTGAAGACCCTATAGTGACGCCCTCACAGCACTCCCTTGGCAAGGGGACACAGATTTTCCTCAGGCCCTGTATTAGTTTCTTATTGCTGCATGACAAATTACCACAAATTCAGGCTGAAGATAGCACAGATATATTATCTTGCAGTTCTGGAGATCGGAAGTTTAAAATAGGTTTTACTGGGCTAAAGTCAAGGTGTCAGCTGGTCTGTGGTCCTTCTGGAGGCTCTAGAGAAGAATCTGTTTACTCACCTTTTCCACCGCTAGAGGCTTCCAGCACTCCTTGGTTTGTGGCCCCTTCTTCCATCTTCAAAGCTTGCATCGCAGCATCTTCAAATCTCTCTGACTCTGACTCCTGTCTCCCTCTTTTTTTTTTTTTTTTTTTGAGATTGAGTCTTGCCCTGTTGCCCAGGCTAGAGTGCAGGGGCGCAATCTTGGCTCACTGCAACCTCCACCTCCTGGGTTCAAGCCATTCTCCTGCCTCAGCCCCCTGAGTGGCTGGGATTACAGGCACCCACCACTACACCCGGCTACATTTTGTATTTTTAGTAGAGACAGGGTTTCATCATCTTGACCAGGCTGGTCTCGAACTCCTGATCTCGTGATCTACCCTCCTCAGCCTCCCTAAGTGCTGAGATTACAGGTGTGAGTCACTGCGCCCGGCCTCTCATCTCCCTCTTATAAGGACCTTTGTGATCACATTGGGCCCATACAGATAATCCAGGATAATCTCCCCATTACAAGATCCTTAATGCGATCATGCATGCAGAGTCCCTTTTGCCATATAAAGTAACATATTTCCAGGTTCTGGGAATTGAAACGTGGATGTTTTTGAGGGGCTGTTATTCTGCCTACCACAGGCCCTATTACAATACCCCTCGTGGCCTCCAGCTCCATGCGTTGAGTCAGATCTAGGGGCTGAAAACAACCATAGATGACAGTGAGCAAGGAAACAGGGGCCTCAACTCTAAACACAAGGAACTGGACTCTGCCACAACCACGTGAGCTTGAAAGAGATGCCAGCCTCCAGATGAGGATGCAGCTCAACTAACACCTTCATTTTAACCTGTGAGACTGAGCAAAGGAGTCAGTCATGCTGGCCCCAGACCCGCCTCATAGAACTGTGGTCTGATAAATGGGTGTTGGTTTAAGCTGCTGCATTTGTAGTAAGTTATCACTGATAGAAAACAAATACATGGGTGAACTTATCACATGTTCTAGATTCAAAACATTAGCTCAAGTAGGTGTGAGTTGCACTAATAGTTCTCTCGGTTGCTTGAAATGTGGACTTAGTGGTGGCCTACACTAAATAAAGTTGAGATCCCAGTATTTCATTAGTATAAGCGGAAGAAAAAAATCAAAAGACTTAGGAAGAGAGTTATGTTGGAATGGATTTAATATGTGCAACTTGCTCACTCACTCTTTCATTACGTCCTCCCAGAAGGTTCCATTGAAACTGTCTTCATCAAGGCATTAGAAGGGAGAGGACCAGCATCGTTGAAAAGCTCTGTAGCAGCTCTTTGCTAAATGCAATGGTGGATGATCTGACCATTGAAATGAGCTTCCTGATTTCAGTGGGCATGGTGGAATCTTCAGGAAACAGTAGGTGGGTGGTAGGGCTTTCCCTCCAGAGACAAGACAGGCATGATTATCGATGTGGGCATCACGACCAGAGCTGTAATCAGGGCTCTTTGGCTATGGCTAATTAATCATTAATCAATTAACCACTAAAATCTTACTTGATCTATATAAGTGAAAATATCCAGGTGGTTGAACAGAGAGCTGACTTGAGTTGCCACAGACTCTCACCTAATTCCCAGGCCCGAACCTGTTCACAGACCTAGAAATGAAGGGAAGGCAGCAAGATCCACCACCACCACCAGGATGTGCCGCGAATCTTCCTCCTAGCTTTCAAAAGGAATCTCAGCCATTTATCATCGTGACAGTGCAATGGGGAAATGAAAACACCCAAACCTTTAGGGTAACATACAAGACATCATTGCGATCTACAAGTCAGGGTGGAGCTTATGGGGCTTAGAACATAAATGACGTGGCCGGGCACAGTGGTTCATGCCGGCAATCCTAGCACTTTGTGGGGCCAAGGCAGGTGGATTACTTGAGGTCAGAAGTTTGAGACCAGCCTGACCAACAAGGTAAAAACCTGGCTCTACTAAAGATACGAAAATTAGCCAGGCATGGTGGCAGGCGCCTGTAGTCCCACCTACTCGAGAGGTTGAGACAGGAGAATCGCTTGAACCCGGGAGGCGGGAGGCGGAGGTTGCAGTGAGCCAAGATCGTGCCACTATTCCAGCCTGGGCGACAGAGCAAGACTCCATCTCAAAAAAAAAAGAACATAAATAACATCTTACTCGAAGTTCATCTCTAGGCTCCGTCTGCGCATATTTCCCCACTTTCAAGTGGGAACCAAAGCAAGGCCATAAGGCTGCTTGAGACATTGCTGACTAGATCCAATGTTGCCTAAAATGTCTGTGGTACATCAGAAAGCTGTGTGGAGACACTGGGTAGCTAGTAGAAGAGCCACGGCACAGGTCCCCAGAGTTTTGGAGCAAAAGCAAGCCCTCTTCCACATCCTAGCATCTGACTTAATCTTGGGTCCTCAGCATGCGAGGGTTCATGAAACATGAGCTGCCCTTTATGAACTGGGTGTTGTCTGCACCACCACACTAGACTGGGCATACTTAGCAGTGCTCACCTCCTTGAATGGAAGTGGTGCCTGTGAATTTGGCTGAGTTAGTTCCTCAAGGCACAAGTAAGAGGCATGAGTAGGCAGCTGTAACTCCAGTGGCATCTCCAGCTACATTCCTAACCTCTCTCTCCATAATCACAGTCACATGAAGGGTTTCCTATGTCTAGTTGACTGAGAAAGGAAAGATTTGGTTTCCTCTGGTGTGTGGGTGGTTCTGCATGCTATTCTAACACCACAGAGAGCAGGCTGCTGCAGCATTACCACCCCACTCACGGCAGCCCTGCAGGACAGTGGGGAAGGAAAATTCTCCCAGTGATCCGAATTGTAAAGAATGCATCTGCTTTGTTTACTTTGCCTGGGCAAAGAGATGACCAGTTACAGTTAACCCTGATCAATAGGCAGTGGCTAACAGTTTGGCTAGATAACTCAGGGTGAGGAAAGACATGGTGAATTGATGACAAGGAAGTCTGGGAAAGAGGAAGGTGGACGAGTCTCTTGGGAAGGGCACAGATGGTGAGAGTATGTGCATCCCATGTGACTGTTCACCAATGGGCGTTCACTACAGAGGAAATCTTCCATGATGAGGTTGACCAAGCGATCCATTCTGCAGACGTCAGTCAATCTCTTTTTCCAGCTGCTCTAGTGCTCGCTCAGCAGGGACATGGACAAAGCAGACAGGCTGGCAGGGATGAAGCGTATGCAAGGCTCAGTGAGCTGGCCTTCCCCTCACCAAGGCCAAGCTGGACAGATAATCCATGGCTGAGTGCCTCAACTGCTAACAGCAGAGATCAGTGTTGGCCCCGTTATGTGGCACCATTCTCCAGAGAGAATGGCAGATTAATTATATCAGACCTATTTCAACCTAAAGAGAGAGGTGATTTGTCCTCATTGAAAATAGCTGCTTGCCTCCCTTGCACACAATGCTTCCTGCAGCACCACTGTCTTTGGGCTTACCAAATGCCTCATTTATCGTCATGTGTCTCCAACCACATTCTCTGACCAAGGAAATCATAATATGCTGAGAAAATAGCCTCAGAATATCTTTTTCATTTTTCAAATTGAGACATAACTTACATACCATAAAGTGCACAGATCTCATGTGCACATTTTAATGAAGTTTTACATATCTATACACCCTTGTAATCACCACCCAGATCATACACAGAACATTCTCAGCTTCCCCTGTCTGCCCCTGCAAGAAGGCTTTCTCATGCCTTCTCCCGGTCAGCCTTTTCTCCCAAGGCATCCTCAACTCTGACCTTTATTACAACAGGTTAATGTCACATGGCCTTGAACTGCATGTGAATGGAATTATACAGTAGGTACACTTTTGTTTTGACTTCTTTTACTCAACACTGACTATGAGATTCATTAATGTTATTGTGTGATTTCATAGGTTTTTTTTTTCACTACTGGGTAGCATTCCACTGCATGAATATGTCACAATTTACTTACCTGTTCTAATGTTAGTGGACTTTGGGGTTAAATTTCCACCCTGCAGTGGTATGAATGAAGCTGGCATGGTACATGTCTTTTGGTGGACACAGGTATTCATTTCTGCTGGATATTTACTCTCAGGAGTGGAAGTACCGAGTCATAGGGTATGTGTTTAATTTTAGCATTGCCAAACATTTTCCCAAGATAATTGTATCAATTTACACTCCCACTAACAATGTGTGAGAGTTCCAGTTGTTCAATGTCCTTTCCAATACTTGGTACTGGCAGTCTTTCAAATGCTAGTCATTACAGTGTGTGTATGTAGTGGTATCTCATTGCGGTTTTACATTCCACTTCTGATAAGCAGTGATATTGGGTACCTTTTCAAATGTTCACCGGCTGTTTTGATATCCTCTTTTGCTAACTATTTATCAAATATTTTGCCCAATTTAAAATTGCATCATCTTTTTCTTATTGTAGCTCTTTCTGCATTCTGGATATGAGTCGTTTGTTAGCTATATGTGTTGCAATATCTTCTCCCATCTTTGACTTTCCTTTTATAGTTAAGAATATACCTCTTAAAGGTATATGCTGATACTAGGCTTTAATGAAGTCCAAGTCATCACACTTTCTTTTAATAGCTAGTGCTTTTTGTGTCTTGCTTAAGTATCTAAGTATCTTTGCCTACCTCAAGGTCACCAAGATATTTTCTGAGGATTAAATGATGACCTTTTTTTTTTTTTTGAGACAGAGTCTTCCTCTGTCGCCCAGGCTGGAGTGCAGTGGCACAATCTCGGCTCACTGCAACCTCCACCTCCCAGATTCAACCGATTCTCCTGCCTCAGCATCCCGAGTAGCTGGGATTATAGGCACTCGCCACCACTCCTGGCTGATTTTTGTATTTATTTAGTAGAGACGGGGTTTCACCATGTTGGCCAGGCTGGTCTCGAACTCCTGACCTCAAGTGATCCACCCGCATTGGCCTCCCAAAGTGCTGGGATTACAGGCGTGAGCCACCACACCCAGCCAAATGATGACGTATTTAAAGGCTCCTGGGATAGTGATTGGTACATAATAAGCACTCAAAAAAAAAAAAAAAAAACAAAACCTGAAAGAACAAACAGGAAAACGAATACGTGTGTGGCCCTGATAATACATTCATTATGTGCTTTTGTTTCTTAGACATGTCTTGGTAATATTTATAGCACCATGAGGAAACACAGGGATGAGAAACGTTGACCCTGATGTGGCGGGAAATGGGAGAGAAGATGTCCTGAGGGTGGTTGTCGTGACTCCCCACAACAGAGGCTGAGACTCAGGAAAAACTCACAGAAGCTTTGACTTGAAGTCCCCTCCAAGCCAGTCAAAGTCTCTGAGGTCCTTTTGCTGGTTCTTTTCTTGACCTAGTCCATGTCCATCTCCATGGATCACATCCTGGGAAGCTTCCTATGCTCCATTTTAATTATTTCATGATCATTATTTTTTTCTCCTCCATGACCCCCTCCCACCCATAATATGTTTTGATACCCAATCTATGGCCACAGCCATCTTGTCCTGCCGTGGCCTCCTTGGTGGCTCCCTCTGTGATCCACTCCATGGTGTCCTCAGTGGCCTCCTCCATGTCCATAATGCCCGCCATGATTCACTCCGTAGCCATCTCCATGGATGTGGCTCAGTCCATGGCCCACTCCATATCCAAAGCCGTGTGTTCCTCCATGTCCCATTTCAAGTTCTCCTCCATGAACCAGTGCATTTCCCAGGCTGTGGAATGTCCCAGAGCCCAGGCCCAAGTTCAGGTCCAGACCAAGGCTGTGGCTGTGGCCATGGGGGTAATAAATACCACAATATCTCAGGGGGAAGAAAAGGTTTCTCTAAAAGAAAAAAATAAATACATTGATAAATGAAAATTAAGTCTCCTCTCCCTAATCACCATACATGCCTGTTTCACCAATGTCAGATTTTCACTTTTCCAAACTTCCCATGTTCTCTTCTCTTTACCACCATCCTTACTATGATCTCTGTCTCTGTCTCTCTTTTTCCTTGTTCTTTTACTCTTTCTCCGTCTGACAAAATAAGCTTCCTTGTTACCTTATTAACATATCATCTTTATGTGCGTACTCAGGCCCTAGCTCTGCAGATCATAAGGTTATGTGTTTTTGGACTTCCAAGACAAAGGTAAATCCATACCCCTATGTGAAAGGCACAGAGACTCACTTTACAGACAGTCTTTCTCTTTGTTAGTCAGCTAAGAAAGCTCAGAACAGGTACGTGGAATTGAGAGCTCTAGAAAGCTGTCTACACAGAGCCTTGAGATTATAGGCATGAACTCCAGAATCCAACTAACCTGAGTTAGAGTCTTATATCTGCCACTCACTACATGTGCTGGGGCAAATAGCTAAGATCATGAAGCTCCAGATCCCTTACTTGTAAGATGAATATAATATGGCCACGGGATTGTAGGCCAGATTAAATAACATTATGCATTTTAAACATTCAGCCTTGAGCCTAGCAGGCAGTAAAAACTCAATGTTCACTTTCGTTATTCTCTCTTGATCTTGCAAATGAAATAATAAAGTAATTTAGGGAGTAATTCTTAGATGCTGGTATTTATTATGTAGTCCACATACGGAGAGAGGCTGAGAATTCTAAAACAAAGAACCTCAGCAAATTGACTATATTATCCAAATCTTTTGTGACTTCCGTATTTTTCATTTTGTCCATTTTTACCAGTGGTATGCTGTCCAACACTTAATAACAGGCTCTCCGAGGGAAAAGTGCTGATTTGTAGTGTTTGACAATTGCTGTGGTGTAAGTATTTCCAACCCAGCATATTTTAAGCTACCAGTGTCACATCACTCAGCTCAGAATTGGGAAGAACTGCACAATCTCTTGTGGGCCAGGATGAGCCAGCTCCAGCACACCACTGATTTATACTCTGCTTCACTCCTCAAATGGTAACTTACCCGCAGGATCACAAGAAAACAGGAAGAACATCAATAAATGTGAAATCGATGTAAGAAAAATATGTATTCAAAGAACAATCAAGACCAGAGAGCAGAGATGGAGTGGGAGGTCAGAGAGTAACAGTCACAGGCCACACAAGGAATTGCTGTGAGGACCAGAAATTTGTCATACATGAGACGATCGGAAGCCCGCATTTTGGATGGCTGAACATTCTTATGCTTCTTTCTTTTCTCTATTTCTCTCTCTCTTTCTTTCCTTCTTTCTTTTTTCTTTCTCTTTCTCTCTCAGTTTCTTTCTTTCTTTCTTCCTTTCTTTCTCTTTCTTGCTTTCTTCCTTTCTTCCTCATTCTTTCTCTTTTTCTCTCTCTCTCTCCTTCCTTCCTTCCTACCTTTCTTTTCTTTCTTCCTTCCTTTCGAGACAGGATCTTGCTCTGTCACTCAGGCTGGAGTGCAGTGGCACGATCTCTGCTCACTGCAACCTCCATCTCCCAGGTTCAAGCAATTCTCGTGCCTCAGCCTCCAAAGTAGCTGGGACTACAGGTCCATGCTACCACTCTCGACTAATTTTTGTATTTTTAGTAAAGACAAGTTTCACCATGTTGGCCAGGCTGGTCTCAAATGCCTGGACTCAAGTGATCCGCCCTCCTTGGCCTTCCAAAGTGCTGGAATTACAGGGGTGAGCCACTGCGCCCAGCTGCTTCTTGCTTTCTTTATGTTTATGTCCTCCTTGTTCTCTCTCAGTATTTCCCTTGTTCTGTCAGTATTTCCCTTCACTTTGGCCCCAACTCCATCTTTTCCCTCCTCTTTTTCTACTTTGCTTCTCACTTTCTCTGACTTAAGCATTCTCTCTGGTCCTTATATCAGGCTAGGTGATTCTTTCCTTCTGAGCGCACCAACTTACTCCCCTTTCTCATTCTGGATTTTTCCAAAGCACTGCTGACATGATTCCCCCCTGCCTTCTTGCCAGGCTCCCCTATGAACCCACCCTGGGTACTCACCAGACAAAAACTCAGTCCTACTGACAATCCAACAGCAGCCACAACTGCAGCCAGGGAAATGAGGATGATAGCCCAGGGCTGTAAATATCCACTTGGTTTGATCACGTTTGTGGGTGTGTGGCTCATGCTAACTGTGTTTGTGCCCATGGACACCGGGCCTGTTTCCTGGAAGGTGCTGCTGGTTGGCTCACGGGTGGATCCTGTGGTGGTCCTGACGCCGTGGGCTGAGGTGGTAGATGATGCTCCCATAGTGGATGTACCCAGGCCAGAGGTGTTTAAGACTATTCCTGGCACAGTATGGCTGGCAGCAGAGGCCGTGAAGTCCATTCCAGGGGCCATGGTGACAGAGCTGGAGGCAGTGAGTCTGGTTCCAGTGGTTCTGGTGCCTATGAAACAGGTCACACAAGATGATGCATTTGTAGCAGAGATGATTAAAGGGGAATGGGGGTGCTTAGACCAGAGGAGGGTGAATCTAACAAACCTATGGTGGAGGTGGCTCAGGAGAGGTGTGGTGGGGGAGGAGAGATGGTAGAAAGCGATTCTGCTGTGGCCATGTCCCCAGAATGCAGGTGGGTGTCATACAGAGAAGGAGGTAGAATGTGTCACCTGGTGGAGTTGGTGATGGAGGAGGCAGAAGTTTGAGGAAACGTTATCGCGATGGGTTCAGAAGTGGAAGATCTATTTGACTTCAGAAGTGGCCACCCAAATAGAAGAGGGTGGGCTGATAAAAATGAATGAATTAACAGCATTTGCAGTGACCTGGATGAGATTTTAGACTATTCTTCTAAGTGAAGTAACTCAGGAATGGAAAACCGAACATCGTATGTTCTCACTGATATGTGGGAGCTAAGCTATGGAAATACGAAGACATAAGAATGATGCAATGGACTTTGGGGACTTTGGGGGAAGAGTGGGAGGGGGCGAGGGATAAAAGACTTCAAATATGGTGCAGTGTATACTACTAGGGTGATGGGTGCACCAAAATCTCACAAATCACCACTAAAGAACTTATTCATATAACCAAATACCACCTGCATCCCAATAACTTATGGAAAAAATTGAAAATAAATAAATCAAAGCAGATCAAATAAGTGGGTGGGCTGGTATACAAAGCGGCAGGCCCTGCTTCTTTTGTGACTGTGATCACTGGGTGTAAGGAGGGAGCTGGAGGAGGAGATGGTAGAATTGGATTCACTCATGGGCATGCCAGTGGCCGTGGCTGGGACAGAGGTGACATCATCTACCACACTGTGGTGATCAGCAAAGGTGAGGTGAGTGTGCTTGGGCAGATGTAGGAGGACCTGACCCAAGTGGAGAAGGCTGCTCACAGGGATAGGAGAGGGTGGGCTCAGACAGGTGTGAGCACGAATCAACACAGCAGAGGCGGTGGTGGCGGCTTAGGTAGCGATGGGTGTGCCTAGGTCAGAAGTGGTTAAAATGGGATCACAAACAGCACCAGTCATGAGAATAGAAGTGAGTATGCTTAGAACCAAGAGGATAGAATCAGATGTAACCGGCTTGCTGATGGCAAGTGCCAGAGAATGAACAAAATTGTTTGGTCTCAGACTGGAGCAAAGGTTGCCAAATTTTTTCTGTAAAGGTCCAAACAGCAAATAATTTAGGCTTTTGGGCCAGGCTGTCTCTGTTGCAAATACACGGAAAAGCAGAAAAGCAGCTGGAGACAAACCATAAATGAATGGGCATGACTATGTTCCAGTAAAACTTTACAAAACCAGGTAACAGGTGAGACTTGACCCATGAAATGTGGTCTGCCAGCCTCTGGTCTAGAGTCAATACATTGATAGGAGGTGGCAGTGTCACAGATGGTTGGTTGAATAGAGATAATCTACTTGGCACCGAAGTGGGAGCATTTCACAAAACTGTGATGGGCCAGTAGAGTTGAGGCGGGCTTGCTGGAGGAAGATGTGACAGATATGATGCACTTGTGGTTTACTATATTGTGGTTCTGATTGCAATGGAAGTGGTGGGCACTTAAAAAAAAAGAGGTGAGACCAGAGTAGAGGCAATTAGGATTCCAGAAGAGGACATTTTTTTTTTTTTTTTTTTTGAGACGGAGTCTCGCTCTGTCGCCCAGGCTGGAATGCAATGGCGCGATCTCTGCTCACTGCAAGCTCCACCTCCCGGATTCACATCATTCTCCTGCCTCAGCCTTCCGAGTAGCTGGGACTACAGGTGCCCGCCACCACGCCCAGCTAATTTTTTGTATTTTTAGTAGAGACTGGATTTCACCGTGTTAGCCAGGATGGTCTCAATCTCCTGATCTCGTGATTCGCTCGCCTCAGCCTTCCAATGTGCTGGGATTACAGGCATGAGCCACCGCGCCCAGCCTAGAAGAGGAAATTATATCTAACTGTGTGCTGGCTTGACTTGAACCAGGGCAGAGATGATAGAAACAGGTGAACAGCTGGTGGTTGCCACTGGAGTTAAAATGTGTGGGCTCAAAGAAGACATGGGGGTTAGTACCTGACATAGGTGTGTTGGTGATGGGCTGGATAGAAACGTCAGTGGCCTTGGTGAGTACAAACGTGGTGGAAGAGACAGTGGTGGAGGCTGCAGTGGCCCCAGAAGCTGTGATAGAGACTGTGGTGGTCTCAGAGCCTGTGAGGGAAGTTGCAGTGGGCTCCAAGCTTGCAGTGGAAGCTATGGTGGTCTCAGAGCCTATGATGAAGGCAGTGTTGGTCTCAGAGCCTGCACTGGAGGGTGTGGAGGTCTCAGAACCTGTGGTACAGGCTGTGTTGGTCTCAGAGCCTGAAGTGGAGGCTGTGGTGGTCTCAGAGCCTGCAGTGGAGGCTGTGGTGGTCTCAGAGCCTGCAGTGGAGGCTGTGGTGGTCTCAGAGCCTGCAGTGGAGGCTGTGGTGGTCTCAGAGCCTTCAGTAGAGGTGGTGGTGGCCTCAGAGCCTGCAGCAGAGGATGTGGTGGCCTCAGAGCCTATGGTAGAGACTGTGGTGGTCTCAGAGACTGTGGTAAAGACTGTAGTCATCTCAGAGCCTGTGGTAGAGGCTGTGGTGGTCTCAGAGCTAGTGGTAGAAACTGTAGTGGCCTCAGAGCCTTCAGTAGAGGCGGTGGTAGTCTTAGAGCCTGTGATATAGACTGTTGTGGTCTCAGAGCCTGCGGTAGAGGCTGTGGTGGTCCCAGAGCCTGAGGTGGAGACTGTGGTGGTCTCCAAATCTGCGGTAGAGGCTGTGGTGGTCTCAGAGCCCGTGGTAGAGACTGTGGTTGTCTCAGAGCCTTCAGTAGAGGTGGTGGTAGTCTCAGAGCCTGTGGTATAGACTGCTGTGGTCTCAGAACCTGCAGTAGTGACTGTAGTGGTCTCTGAACCTTCAGTAGAGGTGATGGTAGTCTCAGTGCCTGTGGTAGAGACTGTGGTGGTCTCAGAGCCTGTGGAGGAGACTGTAGTGGTCTCAGAGCCTTCAATAGAGGCTGTGGTGGTCTCAGAGCCTGCAGTAGAGACTGTGGTGGTCTCTGAGCCTGCAGTAGAGGCCGTGGTGGTCTCAGAGCCCATAGTAGTGACTGTAGTGGTCTCAGAGCCTTCAGCAGAGACTGTGATGGTCTCAGAGCCTGTGGTAGAAACTGTAGTGAGCTCAGAGCCTTCAGTAGAGGCTGTGGTGGTCTCAGAGCCTTCAGTAGAGGCTGTGGTGGTCTCAGAGCCTGTGGTAGAAACTGTAGTGATCTCAGAGCCTTCAGTAGAGGCTGTGGTGGTCTCAGAGCCTTCAGTAGAGGTGGTGGTAGTCTCAGAGCCTTCAGTAGAGGCTGTGGTGGTCTCAGAGCCTATGGTAGTGGCTGTAGTGGTCTCAGAGCTTTCAGTAGAGGCTGTGGTGGTCTCAGAGCCTTCAGTAGAGGCTGTAGTGGTCTCAGAGCCTTCAGTAGAGGTGGTGGTGGTGGTCTCAGAGCCTGCTGTAGAGGCTGGGATGGTCTCAGAGCCTGCAGTGGAGACTGTGGTGGTCTCAGAGGCTGTGGTAGAGGCTATGGTGGTCTCAGAGTTTTCAGTGAAGACTGTGGTCATTTTAGAGCTTGCAGTGGAGACCTTGGTGGTCTCAGAGCCTATGGTAGAGGCCATAGTGGTCTCAGAGCCCATGATGGATGCCATGGTGGTCTCAGAGCTTGTAGTAGAGGCTGTGGTGGTCTCAGAGCCTGTAGTAGAGGCTGAGGTGGTCTCGGAGCCTTCAGTAGAGGCTGTGGTGGTCTCGGAGCCTTCAGTAGAGGCTGTGGTGGTCTCAGAGCCTGTGATGGAGGCTGTAGTAATCTCAGAGCCTTCAGTAGAAGTGGTGGTGGTCTCTGAACCTGTGGTAGAAACTTTAGTGGTCTCAGAGCCTGTGATGGAGACTGTAGTGGTCCCAGAGCCTTCAGTAGAGACTGTGGTCTCAGAGCCTGTGGCAGATACTGTAGTGGTCTCAGAGCCTTCAGTAGAGGTGATGGTCCTCTCAGAGCCTGTGGTAGAGACCATGGTGGTCTCAGAGTCTGTGGTGGAGACTGTAGTGGTCTCAGAGCCTTCAGTAGAGGCTGTGGTGGTCTCAGAGCTTGTAGTAGAGGCTGTGGTGGTCTCAGAGCCTGTAGTAGAGGCTGAGGTGGTCTCAGAATCTGCAGTAGATGCTGTGGTGTTCTCAGAATCTGCAGTAGAGACTGTGGTGGTCTCAGAGCCTGCAGTGGAGGCTGCAGTGGTCCCAGAGCCTTCAGTAGAGTCTGTGGTGGTCTCAGCACCTGTGGTGGAGACTGTAGTCATCTCAGAGCCTTCAGTGGAAGTGGTGGTGGTCTCCAAGCCTGTGGTGGAAACTGTAGTGGTCTCAGAGCCTGTGGTGGAGACTGTAGTGTTCTCAGAGCCTTCAGTAGAGACTGTGGTCATCTCAGAGCCTGTGGCAGAGACTGCAGTGGTCTCAGAGCCTTCAGTAGAGGCTGTGGTGGTGTCAGAGCCTATGGTAAAGACTGTGGTGGTCTCCAAGCCTGTATTAGAGGCTGTGGTGGTCTCAGAGCCTGTAGTATAGGCTGTTTTGGTCTCAGAGCCTGCGGTAGTGACTGTAGTGGTCTCAGAACCTTCAGTAGAAGCTGTGGTGGTCTCAGAGTCTGAAGTAGAGGCTATTGTGATCTCAGAGCCTTCAGTAGAGGCTGTAGTGGTCTCAAAGACTGTGGTGGAGACTGCAGTCATCTCAGAGCCTTCAGTACAGGTGGTGGTGGTCTCTGAGTCTGTGATAGAAACTGTAGTGGTCTCAGAGCCTGTAGTGGAGACTGTAGTGGCCTCAGAGCCTTCAGTGGAAGCTGTGGTGGTCTCAGAGCCTTCAGTAGAGGCTGTGGTGGTCTCAGAGCCTGTGGTAGAATCTGTGCTGGTCTCAGAGCCCATGATGGAGGCTGTGGTGGTCTCAGAGCCTGTGGTAGAGACTGTGGTGGTCTCAGAGCCTACGGTAGAGGCTCTGATTGTCTCAGAGCCTGCAGCAAAGACTGTGGTCACCTCAGAGCTTGCAGTGGAGACCTTGGTGGTCTCAGGGCCTATGGTAGAGGCCATAGTGGTCTCAGAGCCCATGGTGGATGCCATGGTAGGCTCAGAGCCTGTAGTAGAGGCTGCGGTTGTCTCAAACCCTGTAGTAGAGGCTGTGGTAGTCTTAGAATCTTCAGTAAATGCTGTGTTGGTTTCAGAATCTTCAGTAGAGGCTGCAGTGGTCTCAGAGCCTGCAGTGGAGACTGTGGTCTCAGAGCCTGCAGTTGAGACTTTGGTGGTCTCAGAGCCCATGGTGGAGGCTGCAGTCGTCTCAGAATGTGCAGTAGAGGCTGTTGTGGTCTCAGAGCCTGTGGTGGAGACTGTAGTGGTCTCAGAGCCTGCAGTAGAGACTGTGGTGGTCTCTGAGCCTGCAGTAGAGGGTGTGATGGTTTCCGAGCCTGCAGTGAAGACTGTGGTCATCTCAGAGCCTGTGGTAGAGGCTGCAGTGGTCTCAGAATCTGCAGTATAGGCTGTGGTGGTCTCAGAGCCCACGGTGGAGACTGTGGTGGTCTCAGAGCCTGCAGTAGAGGTGACGGTGGTCTCAGAGCTTGTAGTAGAGTTTGTGGTGGTCTCTGAGCCCATGGCAGAGACCATGGTGGTCTCAGTGCCTGTGATAGAGACTGTAGTGGTCTCAGAGCCTGCAGTGGAGACGGTGGTCTCAGAGCCTGCCATAGAAGCTGTGGTGGTCCCAGAGCCTGCACTAGAGACTGTGGTGTTCTCGGATCCTGCCGTAGAGGTGGTGGTGATCTCAGAACCTGAAATAGAGACTATGGTGGTCTGAGAGCCTGTGGGGGAGGGGGTGGTGGTCTCAGAACCTGCTGTAGAGGCTGTGGTGGTCTCAGAGGCTTTAATCAGGATTGTAGTGGTCTCAGAGCCTGTGGTAGAGGCTGTGGTGGTGTTAGAGCCTGCAGCGGGGGCCACAGTGGTCTCAGAGCTCATGCTGGACGCCGTGATCACCTTGGAGTCTGCAGTTGAGGTTGTGGTGGCCTCAGAGCCTGCCATGGAGGTGGAGGTAGTGGTGGTCTCAGAACCTGCAGTAGATGCTGTGGTGGTTTCAGAGCCTGTGGTAGAGACTTTAGTGGCCTCAGAGCTTGCAGTGGAGGTGGTGGTGGTCTCAGAGCCTGTGGTAGAGACTGTGGCAGTCTCAGAGCCTGTGGTGGAGGCCATGGTGGTCTCAGAAATTATGGAGGAGGCCATCGTTTTCTCAGAGCCTGCAGTGGAGGTTGTGCTGGAGGCCATGGTAGTCTCAGGGACTGTAGTGGAGGCTATAGTAAAGGTTGTTGTGGTCCCAGAGACTGTGGTGGAGGCCACGATAGTTTCAGAGCCTGCAGTGGAGACTGTGGTTGTGTCAGAGCCTGTGGTGAAGGTCCTAGTGGAGGCTATAGTAGTCCCTGAGTCTGTGGTAGAGGCCGTGTTGGTCTCAGAGCCTGTGGTGAAGGCTGCAGTAGAAGCCATGGTGGAGGCTGAGGTTGTCTCAGAGCCTGTGGTAGAGTCTGTGGTGATCTTAGAGCCTGTAGTTAAGGCCGAAGTAGAGGCCATGGTGGAGGCCATGGTGGTCTCAGAGCCTGTGATGGAGGCTGTGGTGGTGTCGGAGCCTTTTGTGAAGGCTGTGGTATTCTCAGAGCCTGAGGTGGAGAACAAATAAGGTGGTGGGAATGGGTTAAAGACGAATTTGCAGGTTTAGTATAGTGTTACTTTCACATATACTCAGTACTTCTTATTCATTTATTTATTCAGTTATTGAGGGCTTAACATGTACCTGGTATTTTACTAAACTCTGGGCATACTCCTGTCAGCAAAAGGGATATGGGCTTATAATTTAGTAAAGAAGAGAGCTACAACATAAAATATAAATACACATTGGCTTAAGTGCTGTTAAAGAAAGCAGTGGTGCTGCTTTAGATACTGGAGTCAGAAAAGGTCTCTCTGAGGAACTGACATATGAACTGAGATCTGAAGGATAAGAAGGCAGCCATTTGGGCTGGGCGCAGTGGCTCAAGCCTGTAATCCCAGGCGGATCACCTGAGGCCGGGAGTTCAAGACCAGCCTGACCAATATGGAGAAACCCCATCTCTACTAAAAATACAAAATTAGCCAGGCATGGTGGCGCATGCTTATAATCCCAGCTATTCAGGAGGCTGAGGCAGGAGAATCACTTGAACGGGAAGGAGGAGGTTGCAGTGAGCCAAGATTGCACCACTGCACTCCAGCCTGGCCAACAAGGGCAAAACTCCATCTTAAAAAAAAAAAAAAAAAAAAGAAGGCAGCAATTTGAAAGGCCAGGAGAAGGACATCACAGATTGATAGCATAAGTACAAATACCCTGAGTTGTTAATGAGCTCGATGTGATTCATGAATAAATAGGAGACCAGGGTGGCTGGAATGTAGTTACTGAAGGAGAAAACGAGGCGGTAGAGAGACCTTTTCTAACCATAATCTCTGAAGCAGGACCCCTGCCTTTTTAACAACACATAACCCAAAGGTGTATTTACATTCTTTATATTCTAAACTCTTCTTTACAAGAACATAAGCCCACATTTCTTTTGCTGACAGGGGTATACTCAGAGTTTAGCAAAATACCATGGTAGAAAGGTTAAATTTCATCTCAAATACAATGAAGACCCACTGGAATAACATACTCTGGTTAATTTCTCTTTGTTTTTATTTTGAAAAAAAAATCACAAATTCTTTTGTAACAAGTATAACACAAAGAACCCTTTTCCCTGAATCATTTGGGAGTTACTTGGTAACCTGATGTCTCATTATCCTTCAATACTTTATATATTCTCATACGCAACCATAATACAGCCATCAAGATCAAGAAATTCACATGAATATATTGCTGCCACCTGATCCTTAGATCCCTTTCAAGTTTTGTTAGTTGTTCTAATAATGTCTTTAATAGTAAACCAGTTCAATTCAGAATCGTGTGTTGTTTTTCGTTGTTCTGTCTCTTTAGTCTTCTTCAGTCTGGTGCAGTTCTTCAGTCTTCCTTTGATCTTCATAACTTTTAACCTTTGAAGATTACAGGTCAATTATTTTATAGAATTTTCCTTAAACTGAGTTTTTGTAATGTTTCATCATGATTAGGCTCATGTTATTAATCTTTGCCAGGAAAACCACTGAAGTGATGCTGTATTCTTCTCTTTGCATACTATCAGGTGACAGATAATATCAATGTGTCCCATCATTGATGATGTTCTCTTGGATTACTTGATTAAGAAGGTGTATCCAGGCTGGTTTTTCTCCCTTTGTAGTTAGTAAATATTGTGTTGTGATTATAATTGTGAAATGTCTCTCTTTATCCCTAATAATATACCTCTTCTTAAGCCTATTTTGTCTGATTTTGAAATAGTCACTCAATTTTTTTCTAAATTGATGTTAGCATGGCTAACATACAGTATGGCCGTATCTTTCTTCCTCTTATTTTTATCCTATTGTTTACCCTATTTGTAGTTATAGTTAGTTAAAATGTATTTCTTGGTTGAATATTATTTATTTGGGGCTTTCTTTTTTAACCAATGTGTCAATCTCTGCCTTTTAATTGTGGTGTCTGGACCATATACATTTAATGTAATTATAAATACGTTGGGTCTGATTCTTTTTTAGAGACAGAGTCTTGCTCTGTCACTCAGGCTATAATGCAGTGGCACAATCACGGCTGACTGCAGCCTTGACTTCCTAAGCTCAAGAAATCCTCCTGCCTCAGCCTCCGAACTATCTAGGATCACAGGCACGAGTCATGATGCCTGGCTAATTACTTTTTAATTTTTATTTCTTGTAAAGATGGGGTCTCCCTATGTTGCCTGGGCTTGTCTCGAACTCCTGGGCTCAAGTAATCTTCCTGCCTCAGCCCCAAAAAGTGCTGGAATTACAAGTGTGAACCACTGTAGCTGGCCCTGAATTTAATAGTCTTCATATTTGTTTTCTATTTTTCTCGTCTGATCTTCTTACCTTTTCCTCCATTTTTCACCTACTTTTTTTTTTTTTAATTAACCCAGTATTTTGTTTTTTGTTTTGTTTTGTTTTTTGAGCGTCTTGATCTGTCACTCAGGCTGGAGTGCAGTGATGGGATCTCAGCTCACTGCCAATTCCACTTCCCAGGTTCAAGTGATTCTCCTGCCTCGGCCTCCTGAGTAGCTGGAACCACAGGCATGTGCCACCACGCCCAGCTAATTTTTGTATTTTTAGTAGAGACAGGGTTTCACCACGTTGCCCAGGCTGGTCTCTAACTCCTGGCCTCAAGTGATCCACCTGCCTCAGCCTCCCAAAGGGCTGGGATTACAGGCATAAACCGCTGCACCATGACCTGAGTCATTTTTGACCCCATTTTATTTCCACCATTAGCTTATTAAATATCATTCTTATTTGTGTGCCTTTGCTCTAGGATTTACGATATACACCTTTATCACTGTCTACCTCCCAGTGAGCTCATTCCTCTTCCTGTAAAGGCATGAGAGTCTCAACACAGTACACTTCCATTTCCTTTTTCTATCCCTTGTACCACTGTTGTCATACATTTTATGTCTACATATAAGCCTCATAATTCATTGTTACTCAAGTATATTATCTTTTAAAATTTAAATGAAAAAAATTTTATTTTTACCCATATATTTATCATTTCCAGCACACTTCATTCTTTTTTGCATAGATCTAAATTTTTTCTTCCTGAAGAACTTTTACATTTAAAAAAAAATGTCAGTCTTGCCCGTCAGTTCACGCCTGTAATCCCAGCATTTTGGGAAGCAGAGGCAGGCAGATCACCAGGAGTTCGATACCAGCCTAACCAAAATTGAGAACCCCCATCTGTACTAAAAATACAAAATTAGCCAGGCATGGTGTGGCTAATTACATGCCTGTAATCCCAGCTACTCGACAGGCTGAGGCAGGAGAATCGCTTGAACCCAGTGTGTCCGGAATTGGTGGGTTCTTGGTCTCACTGACTTCAAGAATGAAGCCACAGACCCTCACAGTGAGTGTTACAGCTCTTAAGGTGGCATGTCTGGAGTTTGCTCCTTCTGATGTTCGGATGTGTTCGGAGTTTCTTCCTTCTGGTGGGTTTGTGCTCTCGCTGGCTCATGAGTGAGGCTGCAGACCTTCACAGTGAGTGTTAACAACTCTTAAGGCCGTGCGTGTGGAATTGTTCCTTCCTCTCAGTGGGCTCGTGGGCTCGCTGGCTTCAGGAGTGAAACTGCAGACCTTTACGGTGAGTGTTACAGATCATAAAAACAGTGTAGACCCAAAAAGTGAGCAGTAGCAAAATCTATTGCAAAAAGCAAAAGAACAAAGTTTCCACAGTGTGGAAAAGGACCCAAGCAGGTTGCCACTGCTGGCTCGGGCAGCCTGCTTTTATTCTCTTATCTGGCCCCACCCACATCCTGCTGATTGGTAGAGCCAAGTGGTCTGTTTTGACAGGGTGCTGATTGGTGCGTTTACAATCCCTGAGCTACATTCAAAGGTTCTCCACGTCCCCATCAGATTAGTTAGATACAGAATATGGACACAGAGGTCCTCCAAGGCCCCTCCAGAGCAGCTAGATACAGAGTGTCGATTGGTGCACTCACAAACCTTGAGCTAAACACAGGGTGCTGATTGGTGTGTTTACAAACCTTGAGCTAGATACAGAGTGCCGATTGGTGTATTTACAATCCCTGAGCTAGACATAAAGGTTCTCCAAGGCCCCACCAGAGCAGCTAGATACAGAGTGTTGATTGGTGCACTCACAAACCCTGAGCTAGACACAGGTTGCTGATTGGTGTGTTTACAAACCTTGAGCTAGATACAGAGTGCCGATTGGTGTATTTACAATCCCTGAGCTAGACATAAAGGTTCTCCAAGGCCCCACCAGAGCAGCTAGATACAGAGTGTCCATTGGTGTACTCACAAATCCTGAGCTAGACACAGGGTGCTGATTGGTGTATTTACAATCCCTAAGCTAGACATAAAGACTCTCCACGTCCCCACCAGACTCAGGAGCCCAGCTGGCTTCACCCAGTGGATCCCGCCCCGGGGCCGCAGGTGGAGCTGCCTGCCAGTCCTACGCCATGCGCTCACAGTCCTCAGCCCGTGGGCGGTCGGTGGGACTGGGCGCCCTGGAGCAGGGGGCGGCGCTCATCGGGGAGGCTCCGGCCGCACAGAAGCCCATGGAGGGGGTGGGAGGCTCAGGCATGGCGGGCTGCAGGTCCCCAGCCCTGCCCCATGGGAAGGCAGCTAAGGCCCAGTGAGAAATCCAGTGCAGCGCCAGTGGGCCGGCACTGCTGGGGGACCTAGTACACCCTCCGCAGCCACTGGCCCGGGTGCTAAGCCCCTCACTGCCCGGGGCCTGCAGGGCCCGCTGGCTGCTCCGAGTGCGGGGCCGCCAAGCCCACGCCTACCCGGAACTCCAGCTGGCCCGCAAGCGCCGCGCACAGTCCCGGTTCCCGCTCGCGCCTCTCCCTCCACACCTCCCTGCAAGCTGAGGGAGCCGGCTCTGGCCTCGGCCAGCCCAGAAAGGGACTCCCACAGTGCAGCGGTGGGCTGAAGGGCTCCTCAAGTGCCGCCAAAGTGGGAGCCCAGGCAGAGGAGGTGCCGAGAGCAAGCGAGGGCTCTGAGGACTGACAGCACGCTGTCACCTCTCACCGGGGGGCAGAGGTTGCAGTGAGCCAAGATCGTGCCATTACACTCCAGCCTGGGGCAACAAGAGCGAAACTCCGTATCAAAAAAAAAAAAAAAAAAAAAAAAAAAAGTCAATTTCCAGGAGGCAAGGTCTTCCAGTTTTTGCTTGTCTAGAAAAGCCTTCATTTCATCTTCATATTGAAAATATTCTTACTCCGTGTAATTCTAGGTTGATAAAGTATTTTTTTCTTTCAGTATTTTAATGATGTTGCTTCTTTATCTTCTGGTTGTCATGGTTTTTCACAGGAAGTCTGTTATGCTTGTCTTTGCTCCTCTCTATACAATGTGTCTTTTCTAGCTCGTTCTAGGATTTCCCTTTTATCACTGATTTTTAGTTATTTGATTACGTTGTACTTTGGTATGATTTTTTAAAGTTTATTTTCCTTGATATTTGTTGAGTTCTTGGGATCTGTGAGTTTATAGTTTTCATCAAATTTAATTTTTTCAGCTACTATTTCTTTAAACATGTTTTCGGTTCCCTTTTTTTCTGGAACTTCAATAACACATATTGTAGACAAAACATTGTCTCACAAAATCACTGGTATTCTATTCATTCATTTTCAGCCCATACTCCCTCCACCCCATACTCCCTCTCACCCTCACAAGATTCTGACAAAACATGCCAGGCTGCCACTCTGTGGAGAAGTCCACTTCATCCAATTTAGTTTCTTGCTCTGTCACCCAGGCTGGAGTGCAGTGGTGCTATCTCGGTTCATTGCAACTTCCACCTCCCGGGTTCAAGGGATTCTCCTGCCTCAGCCTCCTGAGTAGCTGGAAATACAGACATGCGCTACCACACCCAGCTAATTTTTGTATTTCTAGTAGAAACAGAGTTTTGCCATGTTGGCCAGGCTGCCCTCGAACTCCTGACCTCAGGTGATCTGCCCACCTCAGCCTCCCAAAGTGCTAGGATTACAGGCGTGAGCCACCGCACCCGGCCCAGTTCAGTTTCTTATATCCTTCTCTGGGCCACTGCTGTCTCCCCTCCTGTCCAACCCTGATATCTGCTTTGCTCTGCCTCACCTAATGATCTGGGGCTTAATCATTCAGGAAGGGAAGAGAAAGTAGAAAACAAAACTGATTTATGTTTTTAAAAGATGCTGTGTGAAAACTGGCATGTAGGAGGGCAAGAGTGAAAAAATTAAGAGCAGTAATTATTGCTTGAACTAGGATGGTAGCAGGGGAGATACATTTCAGTGGATGAATACAAGCTATGTTTTGAAATTAGAAAAGTAGAACCAATAGGAAGTGTTGAAAGGCTGCATGTGGTGGATGACAAGAAAAGAAGTCAAGAACAACTTCTAGCTTTGGGGCTTACGCAGAGTTGGAAATTAGTTCTATTTATCTGAATGAATAGGGATGAAGTGGAAGTTGGAAATATTAGACTTTGAACTTTTTGTGCCCATTAGATATCCAGGAGACTGTTGGCAGTTGGAAACCTGCACTTAGTTCTCAGAGGAGAAATCAGATCAAAAGACGTGAAACTGGAAGTCATTTAAATATACATTGTATTTAAAGCCATGAAGCTGACTGAGATCACTTGTCTGGGAGAGTATAGTTGGAGAATAGGGCGCTGGACCAAGCTCTGGCCACTGCATCACTCAGATAGAGGAGGAGACGCAAATTAATGAGACTGAGAAGGAGCATCCACTAAGGCAGAAAGAAAACTCTAAAAAGTGAATCAAGGAAGTCAAGAGAATAGAGAGGCTCTAGAAAAATATGGCAGTTAGCTGAATTGATTTTTGCAGAGAGATCAAGTAAGATATGGCCTGGGCCATGTCCATTGGATTCAGAGACAATATGGAAGTGAGTTTAGTTTATTGAAAACAGATTTGCATGATGGGGTAGACCCCAATTGGAATGAATAAAAGAATAAGTATATATGGAGGCTTACGGATTTCATAGAAGAATAAAAAGTAGAGAAATAACAAAACACATACCTCCACAAGGACAAACGATGGAGAGATAACAGCAGAGGAGATATTTAATTTTTGTTTTTTTGAAGGTAATAGGCAGATGAGTGGTAACTCTCCAACACAACAGAGAAAGCTTCAACATACAGGCCTCCATTGGGGGTGAGAGTAAGTCAACTACTGGTAGATTATTAATTCTGTGGAATCCTGGAAAGATTCGGGAATTGCAACTGGGTTCCTCTAAAGATTTGGGTGTGGCATGTGACTAAATACAGGAAGGATAGTTGAAATACAATGTAGCTAGGAACTGTCTCTCAGCTCCAGATCACTCCTTCCACTCAAGGACTTGGATGAATACACCTCTCTCCCTTTTAACAGCTTAGGGTTTTATCTCTGGAGATACTGAAACCAAAGAAACTCTAGACCAGTAATCCCAGGCACTGCTGAAGGCAGGAGTGAAAGTGTATCCAGAATTGGTGGGTTCTTGGTCTGACTTGAACAATGAAGCCGTGGACTCTCGCCGTGAGTGTCACAGTTCTTACAAGTGGTGTGTCCTGAGTTTGTTCCTTCTGATGTTCAGATGTGTTCGGCGTTTCTTCTGGTGGGTTCGTGATCTCACTGGCCTCAGGAGTGAAACTGCAGATTTTCGCAGTGAGTGTTACAACTCATAAACGCAGTGTGGACTCAGAGTGAGCAGCAGCAATATTTATCACAAAGAGTGAAAGAACAAAGTTTCCACACTATGGAAGGGTACCCAAGCGGATTGCCACTGCTAACTCAGGGCAGCCTGCTTTTATTCCCTTATCTGGTGGCACCCACATCCTACTGATTGGTCCATTTTACAGAGCGCCGATTGGTCTGTTTTACAGAGAGCTGATTGGTCTGTTTTGACAAGGTGCTGATTGGTGTGTTTACAATCCCTGAGCTAGACACAAAAGTTCTCCAAGTCCCCACAGAGCACTGATTGGTGCATTTACAAACCTTGAGCTATACACAGGGTGCTGATTGGTATGTTTACAAACCTTGAGCGAGACACAGGGTGCTGATTGGTGTATTTACAGTCCCTTAGCTAGACATAAAGATTCTCGAAGTCCCCACCAGATTAGCTAGACACAGGGTGCTGACTGGTGTGTTTACAAACCTTGAGCTAGACACAGAGTGCTGATTGGTGTATTTACAATCCCTTAGCTAGACATAAAGATTCTCCGAGTCCCCACCAGATTAGCTAGACACAGGGTGCTGATTGGTGCATTTGCAAACCTTGAGCTAGACACAGAGTGCTGATTGGTGTATTTACAATCCCTTAGCTAGACATAAAGGTTCTCCAAGTCCCCACTACACTCAGGAGCCCAGCTGGCCTCACCTAGTAGATCCCGCACCCGGGCCGCAGATGGAGCTGCCCGTCAGTCCCACGCCGTGCGCCAGCACTCCTCAGCCCTTGGGCAGTCTATGGGACCGGGTGCCGCAAAGCAAGGGGCAGCGCTCGTCTGGGAGGTTCTGGCTGCGCAGGAGCCCATGGCGGCGTGGGGGAGGCTCAGGCATGGCGGGCTGCAGGTCCCGAGCCGTGCCCCTCAGGGAGGCAGCTGAGGTCCGGCGAGAATTGGAGCGCAGCACCCGCCGGCACTGCTGGGGAACCTGGCGCACCCTCCGCAGCTGCTGGCCCGGCTGCTAAGTTCCTCACTGCCTGGGGCCAGCTGTGCTGGCCACGCCAGCCCGAGGCTCAGAGTGTGGGGCCCCCCGAGGCCACGCCCACCTGGAACTAGTGCTGGCCCGCAAGTGCCGCAGGCAGCCCGGGTTCCCGCCCGTGCCTCTCCCTCCACACCTCCCTGAAAGCTGAGGGAGCTGGCTCCGGCCTCGGCCAGCCCAGAGAGGGTCTCCCACAGTGCAGCGGGGGGCTGAAGGGCCCCTCAAGCACAGCCAGAATGGGTGGCGAGGCCGAGGAGGCTCCGAGACTGAGCGAGGGCTGCCAGCACCCTGTCCCCTCTCAAAAGGTTTTACTGAAACTATGCAATTAAGGAAATGCTTACACCCTGAAATGTAAAACCCACATTACCTATTCCCTTGCTCAGCTTCCAGCACTTCAGCAGCTATGCTAGTATGCTCTAGACAGGATCTGGAGAATTCTTCTTGTGGAAAGAAATTAGCCAACACTAGATACTGACATTTTGAGGATCTTCCCAATCTAAACTGCCACGTCTCTGCTAAATTACCCTAAAGCTAAGTCCACCAGTTGACAGGCCCTACCCCTGCTCACAAAGCTTCCAGGCATCATATTAGTGCCTCACTCAAATGCAAAGGACATTCTGGGATTACCAGATATTTGAGAAAAATCTCTAGCTTGAAATATAGAGACCAAAACAAATATCCCTATGAAGCAAAGCCAGAGAGAACTGAGACAATGCAAACAGCAAAACCAACTTCAAATGTCCTCAGCAATATAAGAGAAAGTATAGCACCCACAAAAAAAAAAAGTAAGAGATGCCATCTTAAAAATGGTTGTAGAGAAAAAAAAGATCTCTTTGAAAAAAAAAAACCTCAAAATTCACTAGAAGGATTTGAAGACTTTAGAAGCTGAGGAAATCTCCCCAGAAGAAAAATAAAACGACAGAGTTGGAAGACAGAAGAAGAAATATAAGAAAATTAGAGTGTCAGCCCAGGAGGTCAAACATCCAAATTATAAGATTTTTTCAGAAAGACGGAACAGAGAAAATGGACGAGAGGCAATTATCAAAGAAAAAAAATGCAATAAAATTTCCCAGAACTGACTGATACAACTTTCTACTGTGCAAATTCCTAACACAATGAAAGAATCCATACTATGACACCATATCATGAGATTTTAGAACAGTAGTTTTAAAAATCTGAAATCCTCCAGAAGAAAAAGAATGGGTCTTTTACAAGAGGTCAGTAATCTAAATATCAGACTTCACAATCTAGAATCTAGGAATAGTGGATCAACGCCTTTAAAATCCTGAGAAAAATCATATCCATCCTAGAATTCTATAACCAGCTAAACTATGAGTCAAATGTGAGGGTGGAATAAGACATTTTCAGACGTATAAGGTCTATGGACAGCTGGGCCCATTTTTCTCTTCTTCCTGGGCACATGGCTAAGTTATATTTGTCAACCTCTCTTGTAGCTAGGTAGGGCTACATGTCTAAGCCCTAGTCAGAGGCCCCTGAAGGGAAGGAATACATATTAATTTCCACTTCATTTCTTTAAGAGTAAATACCTATTCCTTGATTTCTGCTTGTATATATATTTTTAATTTCTGTATATTATCATGTTTTGACATCTTAACAAACTTTTCTAGCTAGGGAGAGACAGGACCTTCCAGGGCTAGCCAATTCTTAAAAGTAGCAAAGGGCCCAGCCAGGAGCATGAGCTGATATGCAGACTAACCATTCCAGAGCCATAGCTCCTCTATCTGGCCCATATACTCCAGGAAACAATATTTATCTGCCTTAGTCATTCCAAAGTCAAGTACTAGGCAACTAGGTGGTAATCAGCCATATAGCTCAAAGAACACAGGAATTATTCAAACCAGCCAATCCTAAACTGTTCACCCTGCCTTTCCTTGCCTTTCCCACAGAAACCCAATAAAAGGAAAGACATAAATCTTTCCTTCACTCCTGTCTTCTGCCTCCTGACTACCTTAGTGTCTTTCTCAGGTGGTCCCGCATGGCAGTGCCATGCCTCCTGTCTCTAGGGCCTGTAAGCCTCTCCTCTTGTGGCTGCACTTTGACTGACTGTATCATAAAATAATACAAAATACTGTTTTTCTTCCCTCTCCTTGGGCTGAAATGATGATGACACTGGAAACCATATGTTGAAGATGGAAGAACCATATTCACCCAGGATCCCTGAATGACTGCATGGAGCAGAGCTCCCACCATCCTATAATACTTACCTTAGGACTGGTACAAGGGAGAAAAATAAACTTGTTTTTCAAAGCCACTTTCGGGATCTCCTTGTTACAGCAGCTTAGCATTACCCTAACAGTGCATAAGGTTTTAAAATAATTTCCCACCATAAACTCTCTCTCTCAGGAAGCTTCTAGAGAAAGTGATGCTCCAAGATGGAAAAATAAAGCCAGAAAAAAGATAAGAATTTACAAGGGAAAAAAGGGAATTTCCAGAATGTTGCTGAATACAGATTGCAGGACAAGAGACCTAGCAAGCAACCAGTACTGGTTGGACAGAGGCTTCTAAATGGGATTGCTCAAGGGAAAAAAGTGAAACTGATAGATTGCCTCATGTGTATCGAAAAGACAGGGATACTTCTGGTGGAGGTTTTGGGATGAATTAATTACATATATGAAGAAAACTATGGACATTTTAAAAATGAGGCTATTATTAATATCTAGAAAAACAAAAATTACAAGAACGGATGGTCATCACAATGCAATTATATGACCCAGTTATAAATGTTACTAGAGGTCATTTATACTTATTATAATGTCATCACAATGCAATTATATGACCCAGTTATAAATGTTACTAGAGGTAAAATTTATAGTTATCATAATGTAAACACTAAATGCTAGTTTAACACCAAAAATTTGATACAGTCATTTGGGGAGAATTGTGAGCAGGAATGTGAGACAGTAAGTGTGTAGGGGGAGTGGTCTAACCTAAATCTTTCTTTTCATTAGAAGGAAGACAATAAATCATGCCCAAAGCAGGAAAAAAAAACCAAAAAACCTCAACCAACAAAGAAGTAATGGTAGTAAGAGAATTTATGGCCGGGTGCAATGGCTCACGCCTGTAATCCCAGTGCTTTGGAAAGCTGAGGTGAGAGGATCCCTTGAGCCCGGGAGTACCAGGCTGCAGTGAGCTATGATGGTGTCTCTGCATTCCCGCCTGGGTGACAGAGTGAGATCTTGTCTCTAAATAAATAGATAAATGCAGTATGAACGTAAATGCCAACAGGAACCCTGGGAAGCAGGACTCAGAATAAGAAGCAATTGGGGCAAGGGAATCAGGGCCTGAAGTTTTATGAGAAGCCTTGTAGGACTACAAGTATTTCTTTTTCAGAACTACTTACATCCATTACCTAATACAATAAAATAAAATAAACAAGTGAGTGGGAGGTGAGAAGTGACATAGCAAGTGTGGGGAAGTCCTTCAAGAATGGGGGTGAGGGGCCGGGCCCGGTGGCTCACACCCGTAATCCCAGCACTTTGGGAGGCCAAGGTGGGTAGATTGTCTGAGCTCAGGAGTTCGAGTCCAGCCTGGGCAACACAATGAAACCCCGTCTCTACTAAAATACAAAAAATTAGCTGGGCGTGGCGGTGTGCGCCTGTAGTCCCAGCTACTCAGGAGGCTGAGGCAGGAGAATCGCTTGAACCTGGGAGGCAGAGGTTGCAGTGAGCCAAGATTGCAGCACTGCACTCTAGCCTGGGAGACAGAGCCACACTCCATCTCCAAAAAAAAAAAAAAAGGGCCGGGCGCGGTGGCTCACGCCTGTAATCCCAGCACTTTGGGAGGCCGAGGCGGGCGGATCACGAGGTCAAGAGATCGAGACCATCCCGGCTAAAACGGTGAAACCCCGTCTCTACTAAAAATACAAAAAAAAAAAAATTAGCCGGGCGTAGTGGCGGGCGCCTGTAGTCCCAGCTACTTGGGAGGCTGAGGCAGGAGAATGGCGTGAACCCGGGAGGCGGAGCTTGCAGTGAGCCGAGATCCCGCCACTGCACTCCAGCCTGGGCGACAGAGCGAGACTCCGTCTCAAAAAAAAAAAAAAAAAAAAAAGAATGGGGGTGAGGAGGAGAGTGGAGGGAGAGGTGGTGGCTGAGGAGTGATGCGGGGACGTTAGGATGGACATCATTCAGTGTTTGGTCCAGGGACCTCTGGGATCACACTGTCTGAAGAACCCACGCCATCCCACCAAGCTTACTGAATCAAGATCTTGCTTGGTGGGGTGTCAGGGCCTGGAAACCCAAGTTTTTAATCGTCTCCTTGGATGATACTTGTGCATACAGAACTGAGCTTGTTTGGATGCTGATGGAAAGGACCCAAGAAAGGTAAAGTGAGATGGGAGGGGAAGGAGAAATGCACTGAGCAAAGCCCCTGAGACGGCGCCCAGCATTCAGATGGAGGAGTTGGTCCTTGCTAATCCACTGTAATGGGGCTACAGGAGACACTGTTGGTTACTTTATAGATCTAGTGGTAGGAAAAGAGGAGGGGCCTTTCAGCCCTTGCACACTTGCTCCCTTTTGTTAGGAAATATTATTTAAGTCTATGTTTTACAGTAGACCAAGTGTTCCATGGGGGTCAAGACCATGGCATTTCCCACTCCATTCCTCACCATGGCCTAGCACGCAGCAGTGCCTGGCCCAGAGGAGGAGCTCTATAAATGTTTGTTGAATGACTACATGAATGACAGTTTCTTCTGAGGTAAGGGGACTCTTGTTTAAAATCAGACAGATAGGACTGGAGTTCAGGATTAGGACAGGCGACGGGCAGATCTGGAAGGCATGGGTAGGTAGAGAACAGTTGAAGCATTCAGGGTGAAGGCAAGGGGAAAGAGAAGAAAAAGAACGCCGAGGGAAGTGCTGAAGCGGGCGAGGGAGCGAATCCAGAGTGGGGTGCAGGAAACAGATGCATACTGAGGAAGAAGGGGGAAGCACTCCAAATCCTCCACATCATCCAACCTATACCTTCTCTTTCAACCGCACCTCCCACTTCTTGACGAGCCATCCTACAGTAGAGGCAATGGAATGGATGAGCCAATTAACCTGGTGTCTCATAATTAGGGAAGATATGTTGATGTAAGAAATCAAAGACTGGAGTGAACAGTACTATCTCAGACAGCCCATTGGAGTCACACGGAGCCCAATTCACTTCTCTCCTGGGCTGTTTCCTTTCACAGCCATTGCTGATCCAATGTCAGAGCCAACCCCTCAGTGGCCGAACTCCGGTTTGTTTCTACCAGGGAAGTTCTCAGGGGATTATACATGGATTTGGAATCAGGCAGCATCCGAAGAAGGGTTGAAGCAAAAAATCAAAAAACAGTAGATGTTGGCGTAGATGCAGTGATCAGGGAACACTTCTACACTGCTAGTGGGAATGTAAACTAGTACAGTCACTATGGAAAACAGTGTGGAGATTTCTTAAAGAACTAAAAGTAGATCTACCATTTGATCCAGTAATCCCACTACTGAGTATCTACCCAGAGGAAAAGAAGTCATTATACAAAAAAGACACTTGCACACACATGTTTATAGCAGCACAATTCACAATTGCAAAGTCATGGAACCCAAATGCCCATCAATCAACGGTGGATAAAGAAACTGGCATATATATACGATGGAATACTACTCAGCCATAAAAAGGAATGAATTAATGGCATTTGCAGTGACCTGGATGAGACTGTAGACTATTATTCTAAGTGAAGTTACTCAGGAATGGAAAACCAAACATCGTATGTTCTCACTGATAGGTGGGAGCTAAGCTGTGAGGACTCAAACTCATGAGAATGATACAATGGACTTTGGGCACTAGGGAGGAAGGACGGGGGAGGCACGAGAGATAAAAGACTACAAATAGGGTGGGTGCAGTGTATACTGCTTGGTGACGGGTGCACCAAAATCTCACAATTCACCAATAAAGCACTTACATAACCAAATATCACCTGTACCCAAATAACCTATGGAAAAAAAAACAAAGAAGGATTGAAGGATTTTTACTTGACTTTAGACTGAGATCCTGGTTTTAATTTGGAATTAAGAATGCTATTGGAACTAGAGTTTTCCGGTTTAAAAAAAAAACTTTTATCCAAGATACAAAGGAAAGTAAAATCTCACCCCCCTCCATTTCCCCAGCACCGCCCCACCGCCCCACCACATGTGCTCACAACCACAGCTGGGGGAGACTAATACAGATTTGCTTCTAAGACAGCATCAGAATCATGGTCAGTGGAATTGAGATCAGTACTGGCTTTTGCAGAAATGGGCAAAAAAAAAAAAAAAAAATGAATCATCATTGTTTCTGGAAGAAGAGTCATGCCTGGGCAGGGGATTCCCCATCTCCTTCAGGGCTTATGTGGCCTCCATGCCCCTCTCCCTCCTTAACTGCTAAGTCACTTACTGGGTCCCAGAAGTCCAAAGAGAAGCAGCCACAGGAACCAGAAAGCAGGAGAGATATTTCCTCTTCTCATCTCTAAATGATGCACATAGAAGTTGTCATTTAGATGCCTGGGTTCCAAAGGAAGGATAGGTCAAAGAGGCAGAGAGACAAGGGGCAAACCCCCTGGGCCTTGATAGAAAATAAAGTTGCACAAAAAGACCCAAAGGCCAGCCAGTGCCAGGGTAAGCCTTGTAGGCAGATGGCATGGTTGGGGGGAGCCCCCAAATTGCTCCACAGTTTGGCTTCTTATTTTTCTTCTTTTTTCCTCGCAAACGTGTCTGTGGCATTTATAGCTGATACTGAGTAGGGGAGGCCAGAACTTTGGGTCCTCCCTCCCCAGGGAGGGGCATTTCTGCGCTGTGCTTTCTGCAGGGCCGTTTGGAGAGATGTACCCTACAGGAATCAAGGCGGAGGAGAGAGCAGAGTCGGCAAGACCAGAGGGCGCACACATGAGGAGGGGCAGGGAGGGAGGCAGAATGAGGGGATCAAACTTGTCGGAGTGGAAGGGACCCACCCTTTGAACCAGAGCTGACCTGAAACCTGTTTTCCCTGGGTATGCCTCATTTTCAAAGCAGGAGGCCTTTGTAGAAGAAAGAAGGAAGAAGAGAAGAAAAGGAAACAAATGGATGGTAAAGGTCAATAGCAGTCTATCTAGGGGAAGCTGGGGATTTGGAGGGTGATAAGAGCATCAGGACACACGCCCGGCTTTCTCCAGAGTGCTCCTTCCCAGCTGCAGAGCAGCACATGGCTACGTGAGTGATACACTCCACTCCCTGTGAGCTCTCCAAGGGTGGGGAAAGTGGACACTGAGTGAGTCTCACTTCTAGTATCAAGCGGAAGTGAGTAGGGAAGAGGATGGGGCACGGAACTACCCATTTCCCTGAGTCAATCTTTGGCAATGGCTCTTAAGCATAGGTCAGGGACCCTGACTCACCTGCGTCCCTATTTCTAGGCTCACAACTAGCAGTTGATTGAAATTTACCCCGTGTAATTCAGATATGCAAGGAAAAATGTAGTTTGGCTTGCTATAACTCACCCAACTCAGTTTCCAGACTCTCTTTCCCACCAATGGCAGGGAAGCCTGGGGTTGGAAATGAGGATACGGGTATAAGCTTGCCAAATATTGGTGATGAAATTTCATTTTCTTTTAAAAGTGTCTCTTTTGGAAGGCATACTGTATGGTTCTAATTATATGAAAGTCAAGTACATGGAAAAATCAACTGATGATGATTAAAGTCAAAATACTGGCTACCTCTAGGGTGGCACTGATGGGGAGGAGGCAGGGGAGGCTTCTGGGGTGATAAGAATGTGGCACATCTTGATCTGGAAAGTGGGTAGGTGAGTGTATGCATGTGTTAAGATTCAACAATTGGCCGGGTGCGGTGGCTCATGCCTGTAATCCCAACACCTTGAGAGGCTGAGGTGGGAGGATTGTGTGAGCCCAGGAGTTCAAGAGCAGTCTAGGCAACATAGCAAGACCCTGTCTCTATTTCTTTAAAATAAATACATTAAAGAATTAAATAAAATTCAACGACTTGAGCACTTATGTGTCCACTCTGCACATTTTACTGCATATATTTTAAGCCTCAATTTAAAGATTAAAAACAACAGTCAAGGGTACAAACTTTCAGTTATAAGAAGAATGAGTTCTGGAACTTTAATCACATGGAGACTATAATTAACAATATTGTATTGTCTATCTGAAATTTGCTAACACACACAGAAAAGAAATGGTAAATATGTGTTGGTGATGTGTTCATTAGTTTGATAGTGGTAATTATTTCACAATGTATACTCATCAAATCAACACATTGTACACGCTGAAAACATATAATTTTTGTCTATTTTACCTCAGTAAGCTTGGGGGGAGAATTAAAAACAATAAGAAAGAAAAAAATTTTGGTGGCTCACGCCTGTAATCCCAACACTTTGGGAAGCCAAGGTGGGCGGGTTAGGAGTTTGAGACCAGCCTGATCAACATGGTGAAACCCCATCTCTAATAAAAATAAAAATAAAAATAAATTAGCTGGGCGTAGTGGCGGGTGCCTGTAATCCCAGCTACTTGGGAGGCTGAGGCAGGAGAATTGCTTGAACCCGGGAGGCAGAGGTTGTAGTGAGCCAAGATCGCACCACTGCACTCCAGCCCGGGTGACAGAGTGAGACTCCGTCTCAAAAAAAAAAAAAAAGAAAGAAAAAGAAAACAATGTTTCAGGTCTCTTTTGGGTAAATACTTGGCCATATGAAATTTAATGCCCCTCTCAGGACTGTTTTCCCCCCATTTCAAGGGCTCTCCCCTCCACTTCTTTCCTGCACGTCCTCTGAGGGGGAATTTATGCCTCCTACTGGCAATGTGGGAACAAGACTTCGGCCCTTCAAGCTGGTCTCTCCTGAGCTCCCTCTCGTTCCATCTGGTCACTGGGATCCTGCATTGGCATCCAACGACTCTGAGACACAGTACTACCATTGTCTTCATTTTACAAATAAGGAAACTAAACCATGGAGAAGTCAAGTAATTTGGCCAAACTCACAAAGTTAGTAAGTGATGGAGTCAGGAATTAAACTATCAGTCCAGCTGCAGAGCCTGTGCTCTTCGCCATTATAAAAGGAGGTTGTCATGTCCAAACAGGACTTTGAGTCTGGCCCCTGAATATCTTCCTCCAACCAGACTGCCTGTTCCCAACTTCATCTGACATAGAAATTCTGGAGCTGTCACTGTTAGAAAGTATGCGGAATATAAAACCACAAAGCTACAGAGGCCCAGCTATGTGGAATTTGAAAAACAGATGGACGAGTCATCATAAGGGACATGTCGGGAAAATTAATGAGTTAAGAGCAGGTTGCTCGAGTGGAGCTGACTGGTCCGAGAACATTTTTTTAAATGCCTCCTTGGAGAGTCTGAGTCATGAGGGTTCTGATGACTAGGAAGGAAAGAGCAAACAGGGGTTGTGGGCTTAGGACTTGGGTTTGTTTTAGAGAGTAAGAGATTAGTTTCGCACAGAGTAGGGAATTCCAGGGACTCGGCAATTACGTAGAGTACACAATTTATAAACATAGCATAGATTTGAAATTCGCCCTTGAATGACCTGTGCTGAAAGTTTGATTTAGGAAAGGCCTGTGTTCCAGATTCTCGCTGCCATCTCTCTCAACCTCACCCTGTACCGGCTTAGATTTTCTTCAACCTGGCTGGACAAGGGGTCTGCTTTCCCTTCTAATTTTAGTTTACCCCCAATTCAAGTAGAGTTATTTTCATCACAAGGAGTCTCAATGGTACCTTCCATATAGCATATAGTTCATCAGAAAGTAACAAAAAGAAGAAGATTTTCTGTGAAATATAGCCTGATATGGTCTATGTCTGTGACCCATTTTCCCACAAACGGACCACTCTGATGGCAGCCACTGTCCCTGGATTTGGAGATCTCTCCTACAGCTGCTTAAGCTTCTTCAGCTATCTGGAGCCACCATTTGTGTAGAAATGTCCTATGTGCTTGAGTGCCCATCTTCAAATTTTCTGTTGTGTATACGTTCAAAAACAATTTTGAAAAGCTGTTTTCCCTCCTCTGTCTATGTTTAATCTAAATTTTTTATCATACATTTAATTATTGCAAAGAATGTAATTTCTACCATATTGTAAATGTAGACATTGAAATAATAAAAGTTTTTACTACTCTTTAAAATGTTTCCAGTAGACTCTAAACACTAGCAGCATCTCAATACTCATCATTATCCTTTTTTTAAATTTTATTTTACTTTAAGAGATGTGGGGGGTCTCACTATATTGCTCAGGCTGGTGTTGAACTCTTGGGCTCAAGCAATCCTCCCGCCTCAGCCTCCCCAAGTGCTGGGATTACAGACGTGAGCCACTGCACCTAGCTTCCATTATCCTTTTGAATAACATATAAGCAAGCTCTTCCTCAATAGTCTAGGTTTTTAAATGGTTCCTCCTGCTCTACGAACTTATAGTTCCATTTTACTTTCCCCATATTATTCTACTGGTCTCTCTCCATATATCATATTAAATACCAGTAACATAAATATTCTACTGCTATACATATATCACAGTATGTCTAATTAATAAACCTTATCTCTTAGAGCAGTTTTGGGTTCACAGCAAAATTAAGTGGTAAGTACAGAGGTCCCATAGACTCCCTGCCCCTACGCAAGCACAACCTCCCCACCTCGTTGACGTCAGGGTTTACTCTTGTATATTCTATGGGTTTTGACAAATGTACAATGACAGGCATCCACCATTGTAGTATCATATACAGTAGTTTCACGCCCTAAGAATCCTCTGTGCTCCACCTATTCATCACCCCACCCTCGTAACCCCTGGCAACCATTGACTCTTGACTGCCTTTATAGTTTTGTCTTTTCTGGGATGTCATATGGTCTGTAATAATTTTTTGCTTGAAAAGCTTTTATTGATCACCCTGTCATACTCCTCTGCATCAAAAGATATGTTTATAAACGTCTAAAAAATTTCCTGTGCCTTGTAAGACTCTGTGTTCAATTTATAGCCCCCAGTAACTTTTTGGTGAATTAAGCAAAAATGCTTCTCTTATGATACGTCTTTCCATATTTTCAAGAAAATATGAATCATTAACTTACCTAACATTTTTTATTTTTCATTTTTTTGAGACGGAGTCTCGCTCTGTCGACCAGGCTGGAGTGCAGTGGTGCAATCTCGGCTCACTGCAACCTCCACTTCCCAGGTTCAAGCTATTCTCTTGCCTCAGCTTCCCACGTAGCTGGGACTACAGGTGCCTGCCACCACGCCAGCTAGTTTTTGTATTTTTAGTAGAGATGGGGTTTCACCATGTTGGTCAGGCTAGTCTCAAAAGCCTGACCTCAGGTGATCCACCCGCCTCCGCCTCCCAAAGTGCTGAAATTACAGGCATGAGCCACCTCGCTTGGCCCACTTACCTAACATTTTAAAAATAACACAACTTACAGAGCGCTTACGAAATGCAGGACTATTCTAAGGCTTCACAATAACCCCATGAAGTGGGTACTATTTTCACTCTCATGTTTACAAATATGGAAACTGAGACCCAGAAGAATTAAGGAATTTGTGGAAAGTCACAATGAAATTGGATTTGAAACCAGAAATTCGAGCTCCACAATCTGTGCTCTTAGCTGACATGCCGTATGGCCTCTCTAAGTGTCTTTTATCTTAAGGTGTAACATTAATCAGTTGGAGCTTACAACATCTTTCTCCTTGAAATCATGCCAAATACACAATTGTTACCTAAACCAAGAAACTAGTGAACAGGAAGCTCTTTCCCCTTACAGAAAATGGTGTACAATTCAGGGAAGTGTGCTTCATAGCACATTGCTTTGTCCCAGCAAGTTGTTGACAAATCTTGAATATTCTAAAATAGGCAGACAGACAGATAAGGTGGGTTGGCTGCCATGGGATTTTTCTCCTTGGTTAAATAAGCCACTGCCTCCTCTATTCTTTCTGCTGATTCTGCTCTTGCTCCAATCTCATGAGATACTCCCTCAAGAGGGATGCATTTTTAAAGAGTGGATGGAAGAGAAGAGATTGTTAAAAAAAAAAGAAAGGAAAAAAAGAAGTTTTTATTACTCCTGTTACTTCATTCTACAGTGTATCTGCGTAAATAACACCTTAACACATGCCAAAATTACCAGTTCCTTACACTCCACGTAGCCCTTCACAGGAATTTATATGAGGCAGGAGAAAACAGGAAGTCCTACTCTGGGTATATGATCCCTAAATTAGAGGTGGTTTTTGAGGTATCCCTTCACTAAAAGGCTTTATTTGACACCCTGAAATGTTCTACACCCTGCGGAAATGTGGTAATAATAATATGGGAGCTACAGAGGAAATGTTGGATGTTCATCAAAGAAGAGTCAGAAAAGTGTAGCCCTGACCACAGAGGTGCCCTCAGACAGATCAGTTCTAGGCCACAAGCACATACGGAAGTTGAAGATCTGGAAAATGGTTCCCATCAAACAACCCACGCCTGCATAATACTCTTCAGGAAGTCTTTATGTACGCCCAAGATGTGGGGGCACAGATGCCACGTGAAGATCATTGTGCTAAATCCACAGTGCAAAGGCACAGGTCTAGATGGGCAGCCCTTTAACCCTGTCCACTTCCTGGACTTTTGCTTGGGTCACGCATGCTTGGTGGGCTGGGGCTTTGTCACATTACAGGAGTAGGTGTATTCCATGACGAAAGCTGGGTAATGATGCTTCCAAACTCTACCTGCACACCCCAGTTGCTGGGAGTAATGAGATACTCACAGCACAACTATGTGAATCAATCACAAGGTAAATTGCTCACCAGGGACTCCCCCCTTTTCTCCTTCCTCTAGCTCAAAATGCCCATTCATTTGAGTCATTTGTTGTTTATTTTTGGAAATAATTTTTTTAAATTTGAGACAGAGTCTCACTCTGTCACCCAGGCTAGAGTGCAGTGACATGATCTCAGCTCACTGCAACGTCCACCTCCCAGGTTCAAGTGATTCTCCTGCCTCAGCCTTCCAAGTAGCTGGGACTACAGGCGCGCACCACCGCGCATGGCTAATTTTTGTATTTTTAGTAGAGACAGGGTTTTGCCATGTTGGCCAGGCTGGTCTCAAACTCCTGGCCTCAAGTGATCTGCCTGCCTCAGCCTCCCAGAATGCTGGGATCACAGGTGTGAGCCACCATGTCCGGCCAGGAAATAAAAATTTTTATTTACATAATGTGCCTGGTAAAAATTTAAGAGCTGTATTGAGCTATAATTTACATACCATATAGTTCACCTGTTTAAAGTATATAAACCTGGCTGGGCAAGGTGGGTCATGCCTCTAATCCCAGCACTTTGGGAGGCTGAGATGGGTGGATCACCTGAGGTTAGGAGTTCAAGACTAGCCTGGTCAACAGTGGTGAAACCCCATCTCTACTAAAAATACAAAAATTAGCCAGGCATGGTGGCACTCGCCTATAATCCCAGCTACTTGGGAGGCTGAGGGAGGAGAATCTCTTAAACCTAGGAAGCAGAGGTTGCAGTGAGCCGAGATTGCGCCACTGCACTCCAGCCTTGGTGACAGAGTGAGATTCCATCTCAAATTTAAAAAAATAATAAGAATAAAATAAAGTATATAAACCAGTGGTTTTAGGCCGGGTGCAGTGGCTCATGCCTGTAATCCCAGCACTTTGGGAGTCCAAGGTGGGTGGATCACCTGAGGTCAGGAGTTCGAGACCAGCCTGGCCAACATTGTGAAACCCCATCTCTACTAAAAATACACACACACACACAAATTAGCTGGGTGTGGTGGCACGCACCTGTAATCCCAGCTACTCGGGAGGCTGAAGCAGGAGAATCACTTGAACCTGGAAGGTGGAGGTTGCAGTGAGCTGAGATCACGCCACTGCACTCCAGCCTGGGCGACAGAGCAAGACTCCGTCTAAAATAAATAAATAAATAAACCAGTGTTTTTTAGTATATTTACAGAGTTGTACTTGGTGAAGCTTTTCATAGACAGACTCAAATCTTTTTTCTCTATTCCAGCTCTTCTTTTTTCCCTTCTAATTCTTCTCTTCCATTTCGTCTCTTTTTCTCTGTTTTGAGCCTTATTACTTGCACGTTAGTCTTCCTGGATCTATCCTCCAAATGTATTATATTTGCCGGGTGATTTTTATTCCTGTATAATTGTGTCTGTTTGAGTTATTTTTCGCGCTTGCTCTTCCGGATTACTAGCATAATTCTCTATAATGGCCAGCCTCTTTCAATTTGTCTATTAAAATTTGAAAATACATGTTTTACTATTTTTTTAAAAAATGATCTAGCTGGACACCCTTGCCTGATCTTATTTCTTTTCATGCTTTTCCACATAAGGGTTTCCACAGTTCCTATCAGTGGGAGGCACCTTTTCAGGGTGTTCAACTTGTCTTTCCCTTCTGGTTTCTGGATCCCTTTAAGTGAGCAGATGATGATGATTGCCTGCATATGGCTCAGCGTGGCCTCTCTGTTCCTCAGTGAGCAGGGGCATGCAAACCTTCCCCCAAAGACTGAGGGAGCTGAGAGGCTGTGGAGACAAAGTGACTCCATCTTGGATGCTAATCTGCCATGTTGACTTCTGATTAACCCAGGTCCCATGAGTCACATGGGCCTCATTCCTACTTTATTTACTGTTCTTGGTAAGGACATGTACTTACTGTAAATCCTGTCTTCGTTTTTTGTTTGTTGTTTTGTTTTTAGAGACAGGGTCTTGCTCTGTCACCTAGGCTGGAGTTCAGTGGTGCAATCTCAGCCCACTGCAGCCTCTAACTCCTGGGCTGTAATGATCCTCCTGCCTCAGCCTCCCAAGTAGCTGGGACCACAGGCACATGCTACCACTCCCAACTAATTTTGGTTTTCTTTTTTGTAGAGATGAGGTGTTGTTTTGTTTCCCAGACTGGTCTCAAACTCCTGCCCCCAAGCAATCCTCCCTCCTCTCCCTCCCAAAGCTCTGGGATTACAGGCATTAGCCACCACATCCAGCCCCTGCCTTTAGATCAAAGCAACCTTGATATTATGGCATAAATTACAGGCTACGACGCACATAGCATTCCTGCCTGTTCTGAAAGGTTGCTTTTAATTGTCTCTACAGGAAGTATACACCCTTTCTGGGGTAAGCCCTGGGTCTGGGGGTAACAGGTGTGGAGATCTACCTGACTTGCTGCCACCCAAGACTACACTTCTGTCTGTAAATTCCCCAGCAAATCACCATTTACTGACAAACTGGATCTATCTGCCTTGTTTTTGGTTTCTCGGCTCCTTCAGCGTTTGGGAGCCACTTTACATGTATGACCCTTTTATGGAACAAAGGCTGAATGAAATAAGTGGCTAACAAATCCAGTTTCTCCAAAAGAAATTTTGAACAAGGACTAAGCAACAGAAGCCACGTCTGGGAGAGCTGCAAGACGATGGACACTCCAGAAAACATCCTTTCTATAGCAAGGTCTTAGGGTAAAATATATGCAGCTGGTCACATCTCAGACTTTCTTGCCAAAACCCATAACCACTCCGGAGGTTAAAGAAGCATGTTTGTGAAGGGTTATTTATGCAGCAGGCATTGTTTGAAGACTGTGCTGCAGTGCACTTTGCTATGCAAAAGTGGACCACTGGTCATCATGATGTGTCCAGAATTGGTGGCTTCTTGGTCTCAATGACTTCAAGAATGAAGCCGCAGACCCTCACGGTTACTGTTACAGCACTTAATGTGGCGCGTCTGGAGCTTGTTCTTTCCGATGTTCGCATGTGTTCACAGTTTCTTCCTTCTGGTGGGTTTGTGGTCTCGCTGGCTCAGGAATGAAGCTGCAGATCTTCACGATGAGTGTTACAGCTCACAAAAGCAGCATGGACCCAAAGAGTGAGCAGTAGCAAGATTTATTGCAAAGAGCAAAAGAACAAAGCTTCCACAGTCAGGAAAAGGACCAGAGCGGGTTACCACTGCTGGCTGGGGCAGCCTGCTTTTATTCTCTTATCTGGCCCCACCCACATCCTGCTGATTGGTAGAGCCGAGTGGTCTGTTTTGACAGGGTGCTGATTGGTGCGTTTACAATCCCTGAGCTAGACACAAAGGTTCTCCACGTCCCCACCAGATTAGCTAGATACAGAGTGTGGACACGAAGGTTCTTCAAGGCCCCACCAGAGCAGCTAGATACAGAGTGTCGATTGGTGAACTCACGAACCCTGAGCTAGACTCAGGGTGCTGATTGGTGTGTTTACAAACCTTGAGCTAGATACAGAGTGCGGATTGGTGTATTTACAATCCCTGAGCTAGACATAAAGGTTCTCCACATCCCCACCAGACTCAGGAGCCCAGCTGGCTTCACCCAGTGGATCCCGCACCGGGGCTGCAGGTGGAGCTGCCTGCCAGTCCTGCGCCGTGCGCTTGCACTCCTCAGCCCTTGGGTGGTCGATGGGACTGGGCGCCCTGGAGCAGGGGGTGGCACTCGTCGGGGAGGCTCGGGCCGCATAGGAGCCCATGGAGGGGGTGGGAGGCTCAGGCATGGCGGGCTGCAGGTCCCAAGCCCTGCCCCGCGGGAAGGCAGCTAAGGCCTGGTGAGAAATCGAGTGCAGCGCCGGCGGGCTGGCACTGCTGGGGGACCCAGTACACCGTCCGCAGCTGCTGGCCCGGGTGCTAAGCCCTTCATTGCCCAGGACCGGCAGGGCCAGCCAAGCCCACGCCCACCCGGAACTCCAGCTGGCCCGCAAGCGCCGCGTGCAGCCCCGGTTCCCGCTCGCACCTCTCCCTCCACACCTCCCTGCAAGCTGAGGGAGTGGGCTCCGGCCTTGGCCAGCCCAGAAAGGGGCTTCCACAGTGCAGCGGTGGGCTGAAGGGCTCCTCAAGTGCCGCCAAAGTGGGAGCCCAGGCAGAGGAGGCGCTGAGAGCGAGCAAGGGCTGTGCGGACTTCCAGCACCCTGTCACCTCTCAATGGCAGCTTTGCTTCAAAATGGCGTCCCTGTTGCCGTGCAACAGGCTGTATTCCTACACTCCACCTCTCAAAACTGGCCCTGACAATTTCACGTGCTCATCTCTTCCATGATAGTCCCTGGGCCTAAAGGGAGGACCCTTGATAGTGCATAGCTTTAGCAGCAGTGCGTTGGCTCCACTGGAGGCAGATAACACAGCAGCAGTAAAGGCTCAAACAAGACAGTAAGGAACGTACGAGTACAGCACCTAAACCAAGAAGCAGCTTATGCCACCAGGTGCCCCAGGACCCAAACCAGCTGTGAAGCCAATTATTCAAAGTAGGGGTCTGAGAGCTTGGTTATGTGGGCTTTTATATCAGTCATTAATTTAGCGATATTAACTGATTCATCAGGAATATAAACACAGCAGTTTTTCCAATTGCACAAGTGCCCCGTTGTGCAGCGTGAGTATATGTAAAGCCTGGTAATTTGGGAGGACAGACTTTCTCATGACAGTGACTTCCATGTTTAAAAGAGAGATTCCCATGCAGCTATCATTTAAAGTTTTCTTTTTTTTTATTTTTTGTAGAGTTTGTTTTTTTAATTTTTTGAGTCAGAGTCTCGCTCTATCACCTGGGCAGGAGTGCAGTAGCACGGTCTTGGCTCACTGTAACCTCCACCTCCCAGGTTCAAGCAATTTTCCTGCCTCAGCCTCCCAAGTAACTGGGATTACAGGCATGCGCCACCACGCCCAGCTAATTTTGTTATTTTTTGTGGAGATGGGGTTACACCGTGTTGGCCAGGCTGATCTCGAACTCCCGACCTCAACTGATCCACCTGCCTTGGCCTCCCAAAGTGCAGGGATTACAGGCTTTATAGAGTTTCTATATGCCAGATAATATCTTCAATAACCGGATGAGGAAGACAAATGGAGGCCAAACAATCATACCAATAAAAAACAGATCAGAACCAGTGGGATTTCAAATGAGGGAGATTGATAGGCTTTGTAGTGTGTGAACTATTCAGTCTGTGCCCGTGTATAATCCAAAGAACATCTTCCTAAACATGCAGGGGGTAACCAAGGCCATAAATTGGTACCACATATCCAGGAAGTTCCATTTGGGGCCAACCAAAAGATTCCTGCACACAGTGTCCGTTCTGTAACATGCCCAATGAGTATTTTATTATATTATAGCATAGTATATAAAAATCAGTCTCTTGCTATCCATCACATATCCCTTGTGCAATTTGGCCAAGTATCTTTAGAATGATTCATTTGTTCCCAAGACTGAGGAGCAAGTTGACTAACATGGCCAAAAGACGGAATTAACCAAATAAACCCAGCCTGTTTTTGGGTATCAGGTTGTTTTGTTCTTTATTTAGGGTGTTGTCACTCTCTAGCAGGAAATAGCCTATCCAGCCTGGGGCTATTTGTCGTTCCAAGCTCGGTGTGTTTCCTCCTCGGTAGTATATCTGCTGGCATCTTCATGTGCAAAAGACACTGGTTGTCAATGAGGTCTGGGAGCAAGCAAAGCAGTCGTCTCAATTACCCCTATGGGAACAGTGGTAGGCTTGGGGGACCGTTGTCCTAGACGGTCACATGGGGCAGGCGTCCCTGCTTTGGCTGAATTTAAAGAAATAAAGGTTGGAGATAACACATTCATCTGCCTATGCAAGGTAGGTTTCCCAAATTAGAGTTTGAATTTGTGCTTTCAACAGACTGGTATTTCTTTCAATTAACCCTGCTGCTTGGAGGTTCTATGGGAGATAAAAGTGCCATAGTGTATCATGTTTCCTGGCCCAGTCCTGCATGTCATATCCAGCGAAATGGGTCCCTCGGTCACTGTCAATGTGCCAGATATATCCATACATAGTACTGAGAGCCTCTAAGCCTTTAATAGTACTGGCTTGATTAGCTTGCTTATAGGGAGAATCTTGCAGCAGTCCAGTAGCGGTGTCCATGCAGGTTAACATGTATTTATTTCCTTGGCTTACAGGGACAGTATCTAAATAATCCACTTGCCAATCTGTTACATGGTGGACAGCCTTCTGAATATCTGAATGTGTCCTGCTCAATATGATCTACAATAGAGAACATGGTAAACAATTTGTAAGAGCTGTTGGGAAGGCACTATATATTTTTTGTTGTTGTTGTGGAGATGGGATCTCGATATGTTGCCCAGGCTGGACTCAAACTCCTGGCCCCAAGCAATCGTCCCACCATGGCCTCCCCATGTGTGAGCCACTGTACCAGGACTAGGTCACTATATATATATATATATATATATATATATATTTTTTTTTTTTTTTTTTGAGACGGAGTTTTGCTCTTATTGCCCTGGCTGGAGTGCAATGGCGTGATCTCGGCTCACTACAACCTCCACCTCCCGGGTTCAAGCAGTTCTCCTGCCTCAGCCTCCTGAGTAGCTGGGATTACAGGTGCATGCCACCACGCCCAGCTAATTTTGTATTTTTAGTAGAGACAGGTTTCTCCATGTTGGTCAAGCTGGTCTCGAACTCCCAACCTCAGGTGATTTGCCCGCCTCGGCCTCCCAAAGTGCTGGGATTACAGGCATGAGCCACCGTGCCCAGCCTGGTCACTACATTTTAAGAGTAATCCTGCTTCCTTGACTGTCTCCCAGCCTACTCTTGCACTTCTGTGACCACTTTTGTTATGTACCCAGGTCAATAGTTCAGAGGCCTGAGCTGGCATGATGCTTCTAATTTTTTTTAGGGTTTTAGCTTCCATGTTTTGTGGAACTGAGTGGTTTTTATGTGCAGTCACCTGAAATACAGTTAAATCAGCCACAAGGCTTTGCGGCTTTTTCCGTATGTCTTGCCACATGTTCATGCCCCATATAGGTTTGTGCATAATCATCCACTTTTCTAGTTCCTGTTGAGCCAGCCACATAATTAGGCCTTTGAATACAGCTCAGCTATCAGTGCAAAGAACCAGGGGCCAGGCTCATATGTGACTATTAACCAGGCTGCTTGCAACTCATCCCAGTGGCTCCTCTGATGCCCACCTGTATCAAACCAGATTGTATCAGTTTGTGGCTGTGTAGCAACAGCGGTCCAAGAACAGCGGTTTCCCCTGCTGGAGTCCTCTGTACACCAAGCATCATCTGGATGCTTACCATGTCAGGTGCTGGAGTTGGAGAGGGTCAGGTGGTATCCTTTGTTTGTTCACGTCATAACAGAGCCTAATGCAGTATGTAATTCTGGGCTTAAGGGACTCATTGCTAGCATTCTTCCTTGTTGCAAATAATCATGCCATTTATTCAAGGTAGGTGTTGGGGCTACAGCGGAGGTGGGTTGTTTAAAAATCCTTCTAACCATCCCTTGATTGGTAGACCTATTCTCACAGTCATGGGAAGGGTCTTTGTTAGCAATTCCACCTGCTGTAAAGCATTCTCTACTACTAGCACTTCTTGTTCAACAGGAGAGTATCTGGTTTTGGCTCCTTTCTTAAAAGGACTGATTCCCTAGACTGCGGTTGCCATAAGGCCCCACTCATATCCTCAGGAGCAGCAGTAACATCCAAAGTCCTAGCTGTACCCTCCAAAGGGGTGCCTAAGGCCTGTGCCTGCTGTACCAACACTTCAGCCTGTTCAAAGCTTCCTGCTGTGGTGTGTCCCAGGCCCAATGTGCCCTTTCTCTGATAAGTCTGTATAGGGATCTCAAAAACTGTGCTAAGTATGGGATGCATACTCTCCAATAACCCAAAAGACCCACAAATGTTTGGATTTCTTTGACTGTTTCTGGAGTTGACATTGTTGGGCTTTGTCAATTATTGCACCCAGTATCAAAGGAGTGTTACCCAACCATGTAACCCCTAAAAACTTCACTGTGGGCCGGGTGCAATGGCTCACACCTGTAATCCTAACACTTTGGGAGGCCAAGGTGGGCGGATCACAAGGTCAGGAGTTCGAGACCAGCCTGGCCAATATGGTGAAACCCCATCTCTACTAAAAATACAAAAGTTAGCTGGGCATGGTGGCAGGTGCCTGTAGTCCCAGTTACTCGGGAGGCTGAGGCAGGAGAATCGCTTGAACCCAGGAGGCGGAGGTGGCAGTGAGACAAGGTCGCACCATTGCAATCCAGCCTGGGTGACAGAGCGAGACTCCGTCTCAAAACAAAACAAAACAAAACAAAACAAACAAACAAAAAATCTTCACTGTGGGCTCTGGGCCTTGCATCTTCTGAGGATTGATGGCCCATCTCCATTCCATAGATGAGCACCCAATACCATAAGACATTACTGCAAACCAAAACAACATGGTACTGGTACAAGAACAGACACATACACCAGTGGAACAGAATAGAAAACACAGAAATAAGACCACGCACCCACGACTATCTGATCTTCAACAAACCTGACGAAAGCAAACAATGGGGAAAGAATTCCCTGTTCAATAAACGGTGCTGGGATAACAGGCTAGCCATATGCAAACAATTCAAACTGGACCCCTTCTTTACACCTTACACAAAAATTAACTCACGATGGATTAAAGACTTAAATGTAAAACCCAAAACTATAAAACCCTGGAAGACAACCTAGGTAATACCATTCAGGACATAGGCATGGGCAAAAATTTCATGACGAAGATTCTGAAAGCAATTGCAACAAAAGGAAAAATTGAAAATGGGATTTAACTAAACGAAAGAGCTTCTGCACAGCAAAAGAAACTATCAACAGAGTAAACAGACAACCTACAGAATGGGAGAAAATTTTTGCAAACTATGCATCTGACAAAGGGCTCATATTCAGCATCTATAAGGAACTTAAACAAATTTATTTTAAAAAAGCAAACAATTCCATCAAAAAGTGGACAAAGGACATGAACAGACACTTCCCAAAAGAAGACATACATGTGGCCAACAAACATATTTTAAAAAGCTAAACATCATTGATTATTAGAGAAACGCATATCAAAACCACAATGATATTGTGCCATTGCACTCCAGCCTGGGCAATAAGAGCGAAACTCCATCTCAAAACAAACAAACAAAAACCCACAATAAGATATCATCTCACGCCAGTCAGAACAGCTATTATTAAAAAGTCAAAAAATAAAAGATGCTGGCGAGGTTGTGGAGAAAAAAGAATGCTTATACACTGTTGGTGGGAGTATAAATTAGTTCAGTCATTGTGGAAGACACTGTGGTGATTCTTCAAAGACTTAAAGACAGATACCATCTGATCCAGCAATCCCATTACTGGGTATATACCCAAAGGAATATAAATCATTCTGTTATAAAAGCACATGGACGTGGCCAGGCACGGTGGCTCATGCCTGTAATCCCATCACTTTGGGAGGCTGAGGCAGGTGGATCACCTGAGGTCAGGAGTTCGAGACCAGGCTGACCAATATGGAGAAACCCCTGTCTCTACTAAAAATACAAGATTATATGGGCGTGGCGCCACATGCCTGTAATCCCAGCTACTGGGGTGGCTGAGGCAGGAGAATCGCTTGATCCCGGGAGGCAGAGGTTGCAGTGAGTGAGATCGCACCATTGCACTCTAGCCTCGGCAACAAGAGCAAAACTCCATCTCAAAAAAAAAAAAAAATGCATGCATGTGTTCATTGCAGTGGTATTCACAATAGCAAAGACATGGAATCAACCTAAATGCCCATCAGCGATAGACTGGATAAAGAAAATGTGGTATATATACATCATGGACTACTATGCAGTCATACAAAAAGAACAAGATCATGTCCTTTGCAGGGACATGGATGGAGCTGGAGGCCATTATTCTTAGCAAACTAATGCAGGAACAGAAAACCAAATACCGCATGTTCTCGCTTATAAGTAGAAGCTAAATGATGAGAACACAGGGACACATAGAGGGGAACAACACCCACTGGGGCCTATCAGAGGGTGGAGGGTGGGAGGAGGGAGAGGATCAGGAAAAATAACTAATGGGTACTAGGCTTAATAGCTGGGTGACGAAATAACCTGTACAAAAAAACCCCCATGACACACATTTACTTATGTAACAAACCTGCATATGAACCCCCGAACTTAAAATAAAAGTTAAAAAAAGAAAAGCCATGGCTGCAGCACAGTAAAAGCTTCAGCGGCTGACATAATGCCAACAAGATAACAAAACTAGAAGAAAAGACGGGAATGCGAAAAAAGACAAGACTCTTTCATGGGCTTTGTGCTGGGTGGATAATAGTTGCACTTATTGGGAGGATAATAATTGCACTTATTTCAGCATACCCCCTGGACAATATGAATCATTTAATGTTGACAACGCCATGTAGGGGCAGGAAGTTGTAGGGGCTCCCATTTTCTTCCTCTCTCAAGAACAGTCTTCACGGAGTGCCTGCGATTGCAGGCACGCGCCGCCACGCCTGACTGGTTTTCGTATTTTTTTTGGTGGAGATGGGGTTTCGCTGTGTTGGCCAGGCCGGTCTCCAGCTCCTAACCGCGAGTGATCCGCCAGCCTCGGCCTCCCGAGGTGCCGGGATTGCAGACGGGAGTCTCGTTCACTCAGTGCTCAATGGTGCCCAGGCTGGAGTGCAGTGGCGTGATCTCGGCTCGCTACAACCTCCACCTCCCAGCCGCCTGCCTTGGCCTCCCAAAATGCCGAGATTGCAGCCTCTGCCCGGCCGCCACCCCATCTGGGAAGTGAGGAGCGTCTCCGCCTGGCCGCCCATCGTCTGGGATGTGAGGAGCCCCTCTGCCTGGCTGCCCAGTCTGGAAAGTGAGGAGCGTCTCAGCCCGGCCGCCATCCCATCTAGGAAGTGAGGAACACCTCTTCCTGGCCGCCATCACATCTAGGAAGTGAAGAGCGTCTCTGCCCGGCCGCCCATCGTCTGAGATGTGGGGACCGCCTCTGCCCCGCCGCCCCGTCTGGGATGTGAGGAGCGCCTCTGCCCGGCCGCGACCCCGTCTGGGAGGTGAGGAGCGTCTCTGCCCGGCCGCCCCGTCTGAGAAGTGAGGAGACCCTCTGCCTGGCAACCGCCCCGTCTGAGAAGTGAGGAGCCCCTCCGCCCGGCAGCCGCCCCGTCTGAGAAGTGAGGAGCCCCTCCGCCCGGCAGCCACCCCGTTTGGGAAGTGAGGAGCCTCTCCGCCCGGCAGCCAACCCGTCCGGGAGGGAGGTGGGGGGGTCAGCCCCCCGCCCGGCCAGCTGCCCCGTCCGGGAGGTGAGGGGCGCCTCTGACTGGCCGCCACTACTGGGAAGTGAGGAGCCCCTCTGCCAGGCCACCACCCCGTCTGGGAGGTGTACCCAACAGCTCATTGAGAATGGGCCATGATGACGATGGCGGTTTTGTGGAATAGAAAGGGGGGAAAGGTGGGGAAAAGATTGAGAAATCGGATGGTTGCTGTGTCTGTGTAGAAAGAAGTATACATGGGAGACTTTTCATTTTGTTCTGTACTAAGAAAAATTCTTCTGCCTTGGGATCCTGTTGATCTGTGACCTTACCCCCAACCCTGTGCTCTCTGAAACGAGTGCTGTGTCCACTCAGGGTTAAATGGATTAAGGGCGGTGCAAGATGTGCTTTGTTAAACAGATGCTTGAAGGCAGCATGCTCGTTAAGAGTCATCACCACTCCCTAATCTCAAGTACCCAGGGACACAAACACTGCGGAAGGCCTCAGGGTCCTCTGCCTAGGAAAACCAGAGACCTTTGTTCACTTGTTTATCTGCTGACCTTCCCTCCATTATTGTCCTATGACCCTGCCAAATCTCCTTCTGCGAGAAACACCCAAGAATGATCAATAAAAAATAAATAAATAAATAAATAAATAAATAAAAAGAAAGAAGAAAAAGAAAAAAAAAAAAAAAAAAACAGTCTTCACTACATGCACCTTCGATCTGAATTTTTCCACTGAAGTTTGCTAAGTCTTTCCTAACAGAATACCTGTGCCTAAAATGTTTTCTGGAATAAGAAAAATAAACACCACATATGGGGCAGGGGAGCTTCCCCAATACCTAGATGTATTAAAGTCCTTCTCATCCAGATCGTTTGTCCCCATAACCAGTGATGGCAGACCATTGACCAGGGTGTATTTATGGATTTCCATGAATTAAAGTATATTCTGCCCTAGTATCTACTAAGGAAATAGTCTTCTCCTTATTTTTTTGAGAGGAACAGTAAATGGTGAGCTCAATATGGGGCCTCTGGTCACCTGCAACGTGGGGTTGACCTTGGTCCCACTGCTAATCTTGGGCCCAGCATGGAATCCCCCTCTGATAGGCTGGAGTATTAGAATGAGGGGTTGAGTCATCTTCCTCTTCTGCTAGAGGGGCAGAAATGAAGGGACAAAACAGCCCTTCAGTCTGTACTTCCCTCCATAAGGCTACTAACACAGCATTTTTCATATTTTCCATATTTTAACATTTTTTACATATTTTTTTCTCAGAATTTTTCTGCTCCCAATAAGTCATGCCACATTTGCCTGTTCTTGACTCTAGTTGGTCGCTTTCCCTTATTTTCCCCCTTCTTCCTGTGGAGCATTATCTTTCCCCTTTGTCAGCCCTTGCCGGGTTACAAAGCACACCCCGTCCCTAGCTTTCTCAGTAGCTCCCAAATCTGTGATGGCTTCTCCTACGTCATATACATCTTTTTTTTTTTTTTTTTAAGACGAAGTTTCGCTGTTGTTGCTCAGGCTGGAGTGCAATGGCACGATCTCGGCTCACTGCAACCTCCGCCTCCCACGTTCAAGCTATTCTCCTGCCTCAGCCTCCCAAGTAGCTGGGATTACAGGCGCCTGTCACCATGCCCGGCTAATTTTGTATTTTTAGTAGAGAAGGAATTTCACCATGTTGACCAGGCTGGTCTTGAACTCCTGACCTCAGGTGATCCATCCACTTCGGCCTCCCAAAGTGCTGGGATTACAGGCATGAGCCACCGTGCCCAGCCCTTTTTTTTTTTTTTTTTTTTTTTTTTTTTGAGACGGGGTCTCACTCTGTTGCCCAGGCTGGAGTGCAGTGCCCCAATCTCAGCTGACTGCAACTTCTGCCTCCTGAGTTCAAGCAGTTCTCCTACCTCAGCCTCCCAAGTAGCTGGGGTTACAGGCACACCACCTAGCTAATTTTTGTATTTTTAGTAGAGATGGGGTTTCACCATATTGTCCAGGCTGGTCTCGAACTCCTGATCTCAAGTAATCCGCCTGCCTCGGCCTCTCAAATTGCTGGAATTACAGGTGTGAGCCCCTGTGCCTGGCCTTCCCACATCATATACTTCTTGTCCCATTTATAGGACTCAATAACATGAGCCAAGGGTTGTGCCATTCTCCTGGTGCACCCTTCAGCAATTTATTTTTCATCCCTGCAGGAAAAAACTGTTTTAAGTCCTGTGAGAACCCAAACATAGATGACTTGACTCATTCCTAATTCTTGGAGAAGCCCTTGGGCCTTTTCTGTTGACTGCCAGGAGGTCATCCTTCCCGGTAAATTTCCCTCATTAGGTCAAGCCTCCCTCATAGCTAGAATGAGCCAGTCCATAAGCTATGACTCCCTTGCGTCTGCCTTGCCTTAGCAAAGATGCTTCTGCAGGGCTGCATGGGTGGTGATGTTACTCATTTTTTCTGCTTCTCCTGTTAAGGAAATATCATCAGCCCCTGTGTCCCACAATCAGACCATCCAAGCAGCCAGGGATTTCCTCGGTAGTTGTTTAAAGGCCTTTGCAATCTCTAAGAGTTCTGCAGCGGTAGGTTCCCTGACAGTGAGAGTCTCCTGTATCAGCTGACCCCCGTTTTGCTGCCAATGTTAGGTTTCACTTTCCTTTGCATGAGACAGCGAGCTTGCCAATGATCCCCATCCCCCTCCACACCTGTGACTTCTATGTCATCAGTCTTCCTCTTCATAACAATCCCAGGGATTCCAAGTTTTCACATCCCGGTTGGGCTTTCTCATGAGAGCTCTGATTTTTGGTCATTTCCATATCTTTCGCCCTAGGTGGACAAATCTACATGCTAACATTTCAATTTTTGTCTCTTGGTCTTCAATTTTGTTTGCTAAGTTGGATGTGAGGAGAGACATGGAGAGGTACACGTCTTTTTCTAGTTGCAATTCCTTCTCTAGACATTTAATTTTGGCTTCTGCTGCTAGCCGGATCTTCATTGCCAAAAGAAGCACCCAACCCTCTGCAGTGGCTATTGGCCGACCTTCCGTACCCCAGTGCACTATGCGGCTTTCAGTTAATAACTGCTCTAGGCCACCTGGCATTTTCAAGGCATCCCTGCACTCACACAGAGGTACACAGGTATCGAACAGTTGTGCCATCCAACCCTACACAGACGTGGCTGCCGCCCTGGGGTTTCCTTACAGATGCTTCATTCTCCTTACCCATTCCTTGTTCTCCCAGCTACTGGCTGGGGGATCACCAAATGTTCTACCATGAACAGGTCTACACAAACCTACCCCTAAATTTTGAGGGGAAAAGAGATCAAAGAAAGAGACTGACAAATCCAGTTTCTCACAGAGAAATATTTAATGGAGTCTTCCAAAGAGAAGTGATGTCTGAGGTGGCCACAAGATGGTGGATTCCCACACTCCCTCTCCAAAAAATATCCTTTCTAGAGTAAGCTTTTAGGGGAAAACATGTGCAACTGGTCACATCACAGACTTTCTTGCTGAAACCCATGACTGCTGGGGAGGTTAGATAAGCATCTTTGTGAGAGGTTAATTACGCTACAGGCATTGTTTTAAAGCCCTTGATACAGAACACCTTGGTATGCAGGAGTCAGACATTGGACATCTGGCGAGGTGCAGTGGCTCACACCTGTAATCTCAGCATTTTGGGAGGCCAAGGCAGGAGGAGTTCAAGGAGGCCAGGAGTTCAAGACCAGCTTGTGCAACAGAGTGAGGCCCTGTCCCTACAAAAAATTCTAAAAATTAGCCAGGCATGGTGGCACACGAAACTGTAGTCCCAGCTACTCAGGAGGCTGAGGCAGGAGGATTGCCTGAGCCCAGGAATTGAAGGCTGCAATGAGCTATGATTGCACCACTGCAAAACTCCATCTAAAAAAAAAATGGCCATTGTGGTGGTTTCACTTCAAGATGGTATCACTCTTACCATGCAACAGGCTGTTTTCCTATAGCCGCATTGGTAAGATCCAATTCTTTGGTTTGCTGACACTGGAGAAACCCAATAAGTGGTGGAAGATGGAGCAGTTTCTACTGCTGTGAGTTGGGGTGAACCCACCAACAGACTGCTAATTCTCTGCTGAGGGCTCTGTCCCAAGTAGGAGCCCTCCATTACCTTGTGGGCTCAAAGCAACTTAGCCTCTAAAGCAGCTCCCCTCTGTCTTCCAAGACCTGGAGGACCCTCTTCCCTGGACTCATGAAAGGGATACGTGCAGCTCTTCTGGGCGGGGATTTATGAGAATCTCGGGTCTTTGCAAGAGCCTCTTGGAAGATTCGACCTCAGCAGGCCAGAAAGTCTTTCCCTTGGGAAACCAGGGAGCACTCAGGGAGATGAGTGTCACCAGCTCCTCCACCCTGATGGGTAGTCAGGCCTGGAGCACATGGAAATGCCCTGGGAACCTCGACTTCAAGTGAATATGCGTACCCCCCTCCCCCCTCCCCCCCCACACACAGAGCAGGTAGTTGTAACGCCTCCACCTCATCCTGCTCTTGGCTCTTCATGTATCACAACCTAATCTCTGTGTACCACAGGCCTCACGCAGGAGCCCATAGCATGCTGGCACCCGCCCTCCCTCCTTATCTCTCCCAAGTCAATTCTCCAGCCAATCGGGGTGTCTCAGAGATACAGGGACCTTGCCTGGGGCAAAAAGGATTAGAAAATGCAGACACACAGATAAGAATGAGGTCTTTGGATTTTACTGTGGAGATTTTGAATGCCAGATGGAGTCCAGCATGGAGGTTTTCTCCTATAACTGAGTTCATCTCAGAGCTAGATACCCACCCCGGGGCACGCACAGCTTCTCTTTGTCGTGTGTGTTAGATGAGATGTATTTATTTCTTAGCTAAATGAGCAATATAGTATTCTCTTTCCAGTGTCTGGTAAAGGCAAGAAAGGTGAGGAATACCTTCTTCAAGATTTTCAGGATCTCAAACAAAGCTGGGAGGGGTCTCCTGGGATGAATGAAAGGAAACCAGGTCTTGGGTGCCCAGGTCTCTTCCTTCCTGAAGAATGCGGCACTTGCTTCCGGGGCTGCTCAGGGCCCGCTGTTCCTCCCGCTCATCTCCATGGCTATCGAGGATACTGGTCTCCTCCAGAACCAGTTAGGACTCCACCTGGGCCTGTGGGGGGCTCCATGATTCCCTCCAGGGCCTGGACCAAGGCCATGGTTGAGGCCATGAGGGTGGTAGACAGCTGTGTTAAAGGTGTTTCTCAGGGACAGGCTGTTTCTCTAAAAAAAGAAGAGTCAATAGTTTCAGAATTGCATCCCTGTCTCCCACGCCTTTACCACGTACGCCTTCTGGAATCTTCTCCCACTTCCAACCATACTCTTTACCTAGTTCTCCTTTCTCCAGTCCTTTCTGTGGCCCCCTTTTCCCGCAGGTCAGCAGCTTCCTCTGCATTGACCTACCATGTCTCTGTGTTACTCTTTCCTGATCTCCCTTCCTCCCTACCCACCCCTGACTTGAGACCCCTTCTATTCACACCCATTTCCTTGTGTTTCTGCTGCTCCTTCCCCCAGGCATTTTCTTACATATTAGGCACTCACCACACAGAAGAAGAGCCCAGCAAAGAGCCCCACGGCCGCCACAACCGAGACCAGGGTGATGAGGAAGATTTCCCACGGCACCAGGGACCCACCAGGCTTCGCCTCACTCACTGCAGTAGATGCACTATGGGAAGTTGTGTGCATTCCAGTCAGAGCTGCTGTTCCAGAGCCTGCAGAGGTCACACTGGACCCAGAGTTGGTGGCTGTGTTGGCCCCACTGGAGGTTGTGCTGGACTCAGAATTGGTGGCAGTGCTGGCCCCACTGGACACTGTGCTGGACTCAGAGTTGGTGGCTGTGCTGGCCCCACTGGAGGTCGTGCTGGACTCAGAGGTGGTGGCTGTGCTGGCCCCACTGGACACTGTGCTGGACTCAGAGTTGGTGGCTGTGCTGGTCCCACTGGAGGTCGTGCTGGACCCAGAGTTGGTGGCTGTGCTGGCCCCACTGGAGGTTGTGCTGGACTCAGAGTTGGTGGCTGTGCTGGCCCCACTGGAGGTCGTGCTGGACTCAGAGTTGGTGGCTGTGCTGGCCCCACTGGAGGTTGTGCTGGAGTCAGAGTTGGTGGCTGTGTTGGCCCCACTGGAGGTCGTACTGGACTCAGAGTTGGTGGCTGTGTTGGCCCCACTGGAGGGTGTGCTGGACTCAGAATTGGTGACTGTGCTGATCCCACTGGACACTGTGCTGGACTCAGAGTTGGTGGCTGTGCCGGCCCCACTGGAGGTCGTGCTGGACTCAGAGTTGGTGGCTGTGCCGGCCCCACTGGAGGGTGTGCTGGACTCAGAGTTGGTGGCTGTGCTGGCCCCACTGGAGGTCGTGCTGGACTCAGAGTTGGTGGCTGTGCCAGCCCCATTGGAGGTCGTTCTGGACTCAGAGTTGGTGGCTGTGCTGGCCCCACTGGAGGTTGTGCTGGACTCAGAGTTGGTGGCAGTGCTGGCCCTACTGGACACTGTGCTGGACTCAGAGTTGGTGGCTGTGCTGGCCCCACTGGAGGTTGTGCTGGACTCAGAGTTGGTGGCTGTGCTGGCCTCACTGGAGGTTGTGCTGGAGTCAGAGTTGGTGGCTGTGCTAGCCCCACTGGAGGTTGTGCTGGAGTCAGAGTTGGTGGCTGTGCTGGCCCCACTGGAGGGTGTGCTGGACTCAGAGTTGGTGGCTGTGCTGGCCCCACTGGAGGTTGTGCTGGACTCAGAGTTGGTGGCTATGCTGATCCCACTGGACGCTGTGCTGAACTCAGAGTTGGTGGCTGTGCTGATCCCACTGGAGGTTGTATGGAACTCAGAGTTGGTGACTATGCTGACCCCATTGGAGGTCACGCTGGACCCTGAGATGGTGGCTGTGCTGACCCCACTGGAGGTCACACTGGACCCAGAGTTGGTGGCTGTGCTGGCTCCACTGGAGATCACACTGGATCCAGTGTTGGCAGAGGTGCTAGTCTCATTGGAATTTGTTGCTGAAGAAATCATATAATGACAAATATATATTGTGTGTATATACTTTCTGCTTATTGCTTGGCTAAATTCATTACATAATTTTATTTAATGCTCACTATGGTGCTATAACATAGATGCTATTATTATCACCAGCTGAGATGAAGAAATTGAGGCTTCAAAATGTTGATACTGGGCTGGGCACGGTGGCTCACGCCTGTAATCCCAGCACTTTGGGAGGCCAAGGTGGGCGGATCACCTGAGGTTGGGAGTTCGAGACCAGCCTGACCAACATGGAGAAACCCCATCTCTACTAAAAATACAAAATTAGCCGGGCATTAATTCCAGCTACTCGGGAGGCTGAGGCAGGAGAATCACTTGAACCCGGGAGGCAGAGGTTGCGGTGAGTCGAGATCGAGCCATTGCACTCCAGCCTGGGTGCCAAGAGCAAAACTCCGTCTCAAAAATAAAAAATAAAAAAAAGTTGACACTGGCCCAAGTTTACACAGCTAGTGAGTGGTGGAACAGGAAACTGAACCCAGGCTACTAAATCTGCACTTGTGGAGACTAAGCTAAGTCAACCACCCACCCACAATGCCAGAGTTACATCATCTAGTTTCACTGGTAGCTAACCTTTTTCCACATTCTGCTATGCAAGATACAATACAGATATAAAGTATTATAAAAGAATTATAGGACTAGGTGAAACTAGTATATACTGATCAATTTTTTTCTTAAGTAGTATTGCTTCCTTCTTGGAAAATATTTCTCAGAATAATATTCAGAACACACTTATTTCAGAATTACTTAAGGGAGCATGTTGAAAATATTCTTAAGCAAATCATTCCAGACTAAATGAATTAGAATTTGAGATGGGGCCCAGGAGTCTGCATGTACAACAAGAAGCCAGGTGACTATATGCATTCAAGTTTCAGGGGCCCTTGATCACTATGGCCAAGGCTAGAGAAGAACGAGTTATATGTAGCTCAAATACATAAGAGCTCCCAGGAATAAGGGCTGTAAACCAACGTCTAAAGGTAGAGGGAAGGCTTTTAACTTCTTGGAGGCTTGGCTGGAGTTAAGGTTATGTCAAATTTTTGCCCTTGATTTCCCAGAAGGATGAAGACATTCAACCTCCCCAGCCTGTACGTGGGAAGCTGACGAGGAATTAGGTGTAGGGGTAGGAGAGAAATTGAGTTTGTAGAATATAGAAGAGTGGTATTTTATTTTATTTTATTTTATTTTATTTTATTTTATTGCTTATTTATTTATTTGTTTTTGAGACGGAGTCTTGCTCTGCCACCCAGGCTGGAGTATAGTGGAGCAATCTCAGCTCACTGCAACATCCGCCTCCCACGTTCAAGCGATTCTCCTGCCTCAGCCTCCTGAGTAGCTAGGATTACAGGCATAAGCCACCCCGCCAGGCTAATTTTTGTACTTTTAGTAGAGATGGAGTTTCACCATGTTGGCCAGGCTGGTCTGAAACTCCTGGCCTCAAGACATCCACCCGCCTTGGCCTCCCAAAGTGCTGAGATTACAGGCGTGAGCCACTGAGCCTGGCCTTATTTTATTATTTTATTTTTTTGAGACAGAGTCTCACTCCGTCACCCAGGCTGGAGTGCAGTGGCACCATCTTGGCTCACTGCAACCTCCGCCTCCCGGGTTCAAGCTATTTTCCTGCCTCAGCCTCCTGAGTAGCTGGGAGTACAGGGACAAGCCAACACACTCAGCTAATTTTTGTATTTTTAGTAGAGACAGGGTTTTGCCACGTTAGCTAGGCTGGTCTTGAACTTCTGACCTCAATGACCTGCCTGCCTCACCCTCCCAAAGTGCTGGGATTAAAGGCATGAGCCACCGCACCCCGCCAGAAGAGTGACATTTTAAAAGCAGCCGACTCTTCTTGTTCTTAATATTTAAAACCCCAACCATATTACACAGGTTGTTACCATTTTACAGATGCAGAAATCGAGGCGCAGAGAAGCAACTGACCTAAAGTACACAGTTAATAGATGGAGCCATAATTCAAATGTAGGCAATGTGAGACCAGAGCCCAATTTTAACCACTGTGTCTGACTGCTTCCTGCATGACATACCTTGTTAGGCTGAAGTGATTCGAGTAAAATGATGATCCTCACTCTATGGAAGAGAAGCAGAGCTGGCCCCAGTAGTGGTCACATTTCTCTCCCAACTCCTCAAAGGTTCTCAGACCACCCGATTTTAAATAAAATCACTCACCAGCTTCTAAATGCAATAGTAGACCAAACATAAGGAGAACATTTCCTTTCTGCATCTTCATCTGTCTCTTTGTGGCTGGAAAGCAAGATGCCTGGGTCCTAGATGTACCAAGACTTTAGAGGGCAAAGAACAGAGGATTCTTGAGAAAGGGGACTTGAAGGTGAAGAGATAAAGGCTGGTGCTTCCAGGAGCGTGGGTCTCCTACGTTTGTGTTCCTGGGAAGAATCTTGGACTCAGGCGTGGGCAGCTGGATGCCTGGGTTCCTTAGGCTTCCTCCAGGCAATGTAGTTGCCTCTTTCTCTGTTGTGAAAGAGCTGCAGGGGCCTTTATAGCTTCATATGGTCTGAGGAGGGGTGGGGCAGTTGACCTGACAGTCTGCCAACTACAGGCAGGTGAGAGAACGATACCAAGCCTGGGACGGAATAGAGCAGGGGTCAAGAGGAAGGTGAGAAAGGAGAATGACATGACCACACTAGGCAGGGTGCTTGGCTGGGTTGCAGCAGGAAGTAGAATGGGATGAGGAGATCATGGTTGTCAGAGTGGAAGGGACCCACCCTTTGAAGCAGGGATCGGGTTAGAAACCTGTTGCAGCTCAAGAATTTGTTTTCTGGTCAGGAAGTCCTGTGGGCCTGCTTTAGCATGAAAGAAGCCCTAATGAACTGAGCCAAGAGAGTAGGACCTCACATCTCTACAGCAAACAGTAATAGGTGACGCAAAAGAGACCAGTAACTAGGACTCTGGGCTCCTGGGTTATGGGCAGAAGACAAATGGAGTATTACTGAGTATGCAGTAAGCACTCAACAATGCACATTGAAGGAACAGGGGAAGAGAGATCCAGAAGACATAATGAAGAGAGATAATGAAAACATGTTTGGGGTCTCTGGGGCATGAGAACTGAGGGTGTGGGAGAGTATTGAATACGCCCCCTGTCAGACTCATAGCAGGAGAAGGAAGGTAGGGTCTCCTTCTGACCCTCAACCATAGGAGCTCCCCTCTGTTTTGTTTTTGTTTTCAGACGGCTGTATAGGAGCCTTTCCACCCTGAGATCCTTCTGATGTGCCTTAGCATCAGTTCCAAGGAAGCGTCTCTCAGGAGAGTACACACCTTAGGGAGAGACACAGTGCCATATCGGGACACAGTCTGATGGGAGGAGGGAGATCAACAGTCCAAGTCCTGGAGGAGGCTTGAATTTGGTCTGGACACTTGGGTATGGCCAGCAGAGGGGAAACAGTCAGCTAAAAGAGCGTGACTGAAGAGACCCAAATGAGCAGAGGGTTTGGGGAGGTCTGAGATGGCATCTGTGACCAGGCTGATGGGGTTCCAATATACAGTCTGTATTTTCTGTCATAGTCCATTGGTGTTGCTATAAAGGAATCCCTGACTGTGGGTGACATAGAGAAAAGAGGCTTATTTGCCTCACGGTTCTGCAGGCTGTATGAGAAGCATGGCACCAACGTCTGCACTGGTGAGGGCTTCAAAAAGCTTCCACTCGTGGCCGAAGGAGAAGGGGAGCCGGTTTGCACAGATCATATAGCGAGAGAGAGGAAGCTGGAAAGAAGGAATGGAGGAGGTGACAGGATCTTTTCAACAACCAGTTCTTGTGGGAACTAAGAGTGAGAACTCACTGGTTGAGAATGGCACCGAGCTGTTCATGAGGGATCTGTTTCAACCACCCAAACTCCTCCCACCAGGCTCCACCTCCAACATTGGGAATCAAATTTCAACATGAGACTTGGCAGGGTTTAACAACCACATCCAAACCATTGCAATGACCAAAGTGAGTTGTCTGCATTTCCCCCAACAATGACGAGAAGCTTCCTGGAAGACACAGTCTCTCAGATAGTTTATTTGTAGGCGAACGAGCTTTCCTGACATGCAAGTTCTGTTAGAAGGAAGCTGGCAAGCAGGAGGTGGCTGAAGACATGAAGGAGCTCTGAATGAGTGAGCTGGAGAAACAGAAAGGGTCAGCGGTGTGCTGGGAAAGGCTCAGAAGTGAGTCTGCCTAGTGGCTGTGATGGGAAGTTCCAGAGGGTCAGGTATGCGGGAACGCTCAGTGACAGGTTGGGTCCTGGACTCCCAGCAATTCTTCTGATGTGCCAGTATTCTGCAGCTGAAAAGCCAATAGCACTCTAAGAATTTTCTTCTTCCAGAATTATTTAGAAACTGAGATCCTGGATTCAAGTCCAAATTTCACCTTTTAGAGGGTACTCTGAAAATTGTAGCGCGCATACTTATCAGAGCCTAATGTAATTAATATCTTTACTCGCTATCAAAATAACACAAAGACCTCAGAACATTTTAATTCGTATTACCCATCTCCCAAATCATACCCTAATATCATCAAGTATTTTAATTCCTTCTTGTTTGTTAACTTCATGAAAGATTATTGTAAAAAAAAAATTATTGTTGTCTGCTTACACACCCTCAGCCTGAACGCAGTCACACAGCCATGTTAAGCTGCAAGAGAAACTGAGAAAGACTGTCTCTAGCTGGGTAGACGTGTGCTCAGCTGACACTTGAGAGATCTGTTGCTAAAGGTGGAGAATGGGTGTTAGCAGACAACCATAAAGCCGTGACATGATCCAGCAACCCCACTGCTGAGGAGGTAGCCAAAAGAAAAGAAATCAGTGTATCAAAGAAATATCCGCACTCCAACGTTTGTTGCAGCACTGTTTGCAATAGCTAAGATTTGGAAGTGTCTATTAATGGATGAATGAATAAAGAAAGTGTGGTACAGGCCGGGCGCAGTGGCTCACACCTATAATCCCAGCACTTTGGGAGGCCGAAGTGGGTGGATCATAAGGTCAGGAATTCAAGACCAGCCTGGCCAACATGGCAAAATCCCATCTCCACTAAAAATACAAAAATTAGCCCAGTGTGGTGACGGGCGCCTGTAATCCCAGCTACTCGAGAAGCTGAGGTAGGAGAATTGCTTGAACCTGGGAGACGGAGGTTGCAGTGAGCCAAGATTGTGCCATTGCACTCCAGCCTGGGCGACAGAGTGAGACTCCATCTCAAAAAAAAAAAAAAAAGAGCCAGGCACGGTCATGCCTGTAATCCCAGCACTTTGGGAAGCACAGGTGGGCAGATCATGATGTCAGGAGTTCGAGACCAGCCTGGCCAGCATGGTGAAACCCCATCTCCACTAAAAATACAAAAATTAGCCGGGCGTGGTGGCAGGCATCTGTAATCCCAGCTACTCGGGAGGCTGAGGCAGAAGAATTGCTTGAACCTGGGAGGCAGCGGTTGCAGTGAACCCAGATCGAGCCACTGCCCGCACTCCAGCCTGGATGACAGAGCAAGTCTCCATCTCGGAAAAAAAAAAAAAAAAAAAAAAAGAAAAGAAAAGAAAACGTGGTACATATACATAGTAGAGCATCATTCAGCCATAAAGAAAGAATGAGATCCAGTCATTTGCAACAACATCGCTGGACATGGAGATCATTATGTTAAGTGAAAAACCCGGCACAGAAAGACAAACATTGCATGTTCTCATTTATTTGTGGGATCTAAAAATCAAAAACAACTGAACTCATGGACATAGAGTCTAGAAGAATGGTTACCAGAGGCTGGGAAAGGTAGTGGGGAGGACTGGGGGAGGTAGAGATGGTTAATGAATGAATTAATTAAATGAATTAAATTAATTTAAAAAAACAAATGAATTAAAAAGAATGAATAAGACCTACTCTTTGATAGCACAACAGGGTAACTATAGTGAATAATAACTTAATTGTATATATTAAAATAACATAAAGAGTGTAATTGGATTTTTTGTAACTCAAAGGATAAATGCTTGAGGGGATAGATACCCCATTCTCCACGATGTGCTGATTTCACATTGCATACCTGTATCAAAACATCTCATGTACCCCATAAATATATACACCTACTATGTACCACAAAAAGTAAAAATAAAAAAAATTAAAAATAAAGCCAGGACGTACATTTAAACCTACTTACCTTATATTCTGTATTTAATAATTTCAATACCTAAAGTCTTTGAGGATCTGATACTGCTGTCTAGCTTTTTGGTTTTGTTTTCTTCCTTGCTGGTTTTCACTCAGGGTGTCTGTTTTCACTTATGATTTGAGAATCATGACTATAAATTTATTTTTCTTGGAATGTTATCTGTCGAGATCAAGGCTGCAGTGGCACTAGCATAACTCACTGCAGCCTTGACCTTCTGGGCTCAGGCAATCCTACTGCCTCGGCCTCCCAAATTTCTGGAATTACAGATTAAGCTACGATCTTTCACAGAGAATTTGCATGTTTTTTCCAAGCATATGGAGACATTACCATTTGAGGATTATTTTATTATTATATTTTTAATTAAAATATTTTATTAACATTGTTACTGTATATACTTATGGGGTACAATTTAATGTTTTAATACATATATATGCTGTATAATTTGAGGATTATTTTAAGCTAAACTATAGGATTGCGGTCTTTTGAATTACCTAGACTGCATGATTTGTGGCTACAAACCATGTAAGTAAGGTATTGTTGGTTGTTGTGGTTACAATTTATTTCTCAAGGGATACTCCCTCTACCCTCCTCTGCACCAAATTTAGAGACAGGCAATTTTGCTTACATTTCCTTAGAGGAGGGGCAGGTTTATTTTTAGTTTACATTCTCACTGAAAGTTACAGATTTATGTGATTCCTCCCCACCCATGACCTTGGGCTGATCCAGCTGAAGCTGTAATACCCGAAGCTTAAGTTCTTTGGGTTTTGCAAAAGTTGGCTTCATTACTTCCCTTACCTCCTGGGTCCTATTTAGTCTTTAATTTTAGCATTCCATACTTTCATGCCAATTCACTGACTCTTTTAAGAAGATTTTGAAGTCCATAACTTAGCTTTACAGTGTATTTTCAGTCAGGGCACGTAGTCCATTATATAGCAAGAAGTTTAAGTTGTCATTGGATTGTTTTGAGAAATAAATGGTGATGTATTTACAGGCACTAGCATAGTGTTTGGCACTTAATAAGCATGCAATAATAAAGGACAAAGGGAAAATAAAAAAGACAAACATAAATACATAAATACATAGATGCCAGGTGTATTTTGAGATTTTAATTTGTAGCACTGTCCCAGTAAATTTCTTCTAACTTATCACATAGCATTTGAAAGAGGCAAAGAAGTAGGGAGGGAGACTCTTCCCAAAGATGAAGAACTGGAGGGCACTGAGTGAGTCTAACAGGATTTTCTGATCTACTCAGTTTGTAGAGTTTGAAGTTACAAATCCAAATAAAGAAAGTTGTGTAATTACAAATTCTCAGGGGAAATTTTTTACCCCCTCCATTATTATAAACTGTGATAATCTTATTCTTCCTCCTACTGGTCAGGTTCCATCCTGAGGAAACGATAGAAAGCCAAAGCCTAAAGAGTTCTGACTTGTGTGTTGAGAGATCAAAGAGAAATTGTTCTGAGCTTGATCATCGTGACCCCTCCTCCCCACAAGAGTTGGAACCATGGTTATGCTCAGGGGATATTTTCACTTGAGCTCACACCCAAAGCTGGTGAGGCTGCAGGTCTCCTCCAGAACCACTCCCTATTTTTCTGACTGTCCCGTTGGCCAAACCCTCTGTGCTCTTTTCTCTGGTTCTTTTCTTGATTTTGATCATGACCATCTCTATGGCCAATCCCTTGGAGACCTCAGAGAAGCCCATCCTGACCCATTTTATGGTCACTACCTTCTCCTCCATGATCCCCCTTCTTCCCCAAGATTTTCTTTTCCATAGCACCTTCCATTATCCAGTCTATGTCTATACTCTCCTTTGCCTTGGCGACCTTCTCTGTGATGCATTTCATGATTATTGCTGTAGCCTCCTCCAAGTCCATAACGCCCACCATGATTCACTCCACAGCCATCTCCATGGCTGTGGCTCAGCTCATGGCCCACTCCATGTCCAAAGCCATGTGTTCCTGTGTGTCCCATCTCAAGTCCCCCTCCATGAATGAGTGCATTTCCCAGGCTGTGGAATGTCCCAGAGCCCAGGACTGAGTCCAGGTATAAACCAAGGTCAAGGCTGTTGTCATGGAGGTTATAAATGCCTCTATTTGTCAGGGTAAAGAAAGATCCTTCTAAAAGAGAAAAATATATATATTAGTAGTTAACTCCTTTTCTTTCTTATCATTAAACCTTGGATTATCAAAATTCATAAATTTTCACTTTTCAATATTGTCTATTTTCTCATCAAGTCTTCCTGTGTGTGTGTGTGTGTGGATGATATTTAGGACTCTCTTCCTCTTATTTATTTATTTATTGGAGAAAACAGTCTTCCTAATTAGTATACTTGTACCTTGGTAGGGATCTATGCTGCTCAACTTTCAAGACAAGATAAGTCTGGGCATGGTGGCTCGTGCCTGTAATCCCAAAACTTTTGGAGGCTGAGGTAGGTGGATTGCTTGAGCCCAGGCATTCCAGAGACCAGCCTGGGCAACATGGTGAAACCCCATCTCTACAAAAATAAAAAAAACAAGACAAGGTAAATTTGCATCCTGTACCTGGGAACAGAGTCAGCTAAGAGTAGGGAATCTTTTATTGTGTAAATCAACCAAAAAGGTTGCATGTCTATGAGGTCAGGTAAAAATAAATAAAAGTTCATAAGGCCAGGTACAGTGGCTCATGCCAGTAATCCTAGTACTTTGGGAGGCCAAGGCGAGAGGATCACTTGAACCCAGCTCTATCTCTGGGTAGACAGAAGCTGCAGTGAGCCAAGACGGCACCACTGGACTCCAGCCTGGGTGACAGAGTGAGACCCCATCCAAAAATTAAAATGAAAAATTTTTTTTAAAGTTCATAAAATAGAAGCTAGAATAGTGCTTACCTTTGATGGAGTGGGTATTATCTGGGAAGGGCCACAAAATAAACTACTCAGATGGTAGAAATATTCTACATTTTAAGTTGGGTAATGGTTGTACAAGTGTTAACACATTTTGAAATTAATCAAGCTGTACAAATAATATTTGTGTACTTTTGTAAATTATAGTTCAAAATTTTTTCATCTGTGAACAGTATTTATTTTTTTCAATTAATATTGTTCTTTTTATTTTTTTTTTATTTCTTGAGACAGAGTCTTGCTCTGCTACCCAGGCTGGAGTGCAGTAGCACGATCTCGGCTCACTGCAACCTCTGCCTCCCAGGTTCAAGCAATTCTCCTGCCTCATCCTCCAGAATAGCTGGGATTACATGCATAAGCCACCATACCCGACTAATTTTTGTATTTTTAGTAGAGACAGGGTTTCCCCATGTTGGCCAGGCTGGTCTTGAACTCCTTACCTCAGATGATCCATCCGCCTCAGCCTCCCAAAGTGTTGAGGTTACAGAACTGCGCCCGGCTGTTCTTTTTATTTTTAAGTGTAATTTAACTTTTAACCTTTCTCCCAACTGTATTAAGTTGATACGTGAAACATATATTTGGACTTCTGCACATTTCCTGGCATGCAGCTCCTAAAATCCTTAGGTACTGAAAAGTGATTTTTTTTTTTGTATGCGAATGAGTCAACTGTTGGCTACAGGATGGGGGCTAATCACCGGAAAGACCAAAGCACCACCCCTTAACCCTTAACCTCCAGGGAGGAGAGGGGACTGAAGGTTAAGTTGATTACCAGTGGCCATGGTTTAATCAGGTATACCTACATAATGAAGCCTCTGTAAAAACCCCAAAGGCCAGGGCTCAGAAAACATATGGAGGTTCCTGGAGGATGGAGTGCTGGGGAGGGCATGGAAGCTCCCTGCTCCTTCTCCCTCCACGCCTCTTCACCTGTATCCTTTGTAATATCCTTTGTAATAAACCAGTAAAGGTGTTTCCCTGAGTTCAGTCAGCCACTCCTGCAAATTAATCGAAACCAAACAGGAGTAGCCAACTCCAACTTGCTCCAGTTGGTCAGAAGTTCCAGAGGCCTGGACTTGGCAGCCTGTGGGAAGGAGCGGTTGGTGTTGAGGGACTGCGCGCTTAGTCTGTGGATCTGATGCTATCTCCAGGTAGGCAGTGCCAGCACTGAATCGGAGGACACCGAGCTGGTGTCTGCTGCAGAACTGATTGCTTGCTTAGTGTGGGAAGAACTTCCCCTCTTAATTTGGTCACCAGAAGTGTTTTGTGTTGGTGGTGGTGTGAGAGCAGAGGAAACACAGTTTGTGTTTTTCCCACTTTCAAAGCTGGTGAATAAATATTGCATATACTTATGGTGTACAATGTGATGTTTTGATATATGTATACATTTTGAAATTATTAAATCAAATTAACATATCTATTGCCTTGCATACTTATCATTTTTTATTGGTAAGAATTACACCTCAATTTTTAAAGATAAAGAAAAATAAGAGACAGGCCATAAAGAGCTAAAGGTTGGAGAACTATCTAAAAAACACTGTGGGCCAGGTGCGGTGGTTCACGCCTGTAATCCCAGCACTTTGGGAGGCCGATGTGGACAGATGATGAGGTCAGGAGTTCGAGAGCAGCCTGGCCAACATGGTGACACCCCATCTCTACTAAAAATACAAAAAATTAGCCGGGCATGGTGGCACATGCCTGTAATCCCAGCTACTCAGGAGGCTGAGGCAGGAGAATTGCTTGAACCCGGGAGGTGGAGGTTGCAGTGAGCCGAGATTGTGCCATTGCACTCCAGCCTGGGCAACAGGGTGAGGCTTCGGCTCAAAAAAACAAACAAACACTCTGGCTAAGAACACAGGCTCTGCTGTCAAGCGGACCAGAATTAGAGCCTAGCTCTGCGTGGCCTTGTCCTGTGGTCTTCAGCAAGTTACTTATGTCTCTGCTTCCAGTTTTCTAGTCTATAAAATGGGATAATAGGAGTACGCATCCCCAAGGGTGGTTGAGCAGAGCAAAGGAGAGATGATGCCCTCTAAGCACTCTGGGCCCTGGACCTCATACCTAGTAGATAGCTAATAAAATGCTAGTTAACTAATATTACATCTTTATCTTAAACATTTAGGGGGTTGCTCATGGCTGGTGAGTCACATATTGTTCTTCCCTTAGGGAGGGGTCAGAGACTCTGAAATAAGAAACTCAGGTAAGTTGATTGTAAATTATGTTAACTGTTTGTGGCTTGTGTGAATTTCTCATTTATGTATTGTGTACTCACTCTGGCTCCTCCTACAAATTTACAAGACTGCATACAGGAATACATAAAGCCAAAATGGGAAAATATAAATGTTCTATTTCTTAAAATAGAACAAGAGAAATACATTTGAATAGAAGATTAAGACCAGGATGGACAATAGAACACAGTCTGCTGCTGGCC